>NC_000001.11:205457314-205608829 GCF_000001405.40 Homo sapiens | reverse complement strand
TTCTTCAAACCTGTCAGCTCAACTGAGAAGACAGTTACTTCATTGCTTATTTTTTCCCTTGTTTTATTGAAATCTGTATCTCATATCCAGTATCTAACACTTTGTAGAGATACTTACATATAATGTAAGTGCACACCTACCCAGAGGAATGGATAACTGTTAAAGTGTTAATAATAGCTCGTCTTAGTTGATTTCAGCATAATTTACATTAGGGAGACCTAAAAAGCACCTTCAAAGTATTAAAAGCACCTTTTTTTTTTCTTTTTCCTAAAAAAGCAATTAAAATGGTCACTGCTAACATTTATTAAACTTCATGTTAGTTGATGAAACAGCTGGAGGGAAGCTGCCACATCTCCTAGCTAAGCAGTCTGACTTACCTGTTGGGAAACAAAGGGATATTGCTCTAAGATTGATTAGGATGATTGTAGCTAGAGTCTTGAATTCTATCTGTATACGGCAGAGAAACTTTATAGAGTGTAGAGAGGTGAGCGAAAGGATGCAAAAGCACTTTGAGGGCTTTATAATAATATGCTGCTTGAAAAAAAAAATGTGTAGTTGATACTCAGTGCATCTCCAGACATAGTAAGGGGTTGCTCTGACCAATCAGGTGATCATTTTTTCTATCACTTCCCAGGTTTTATGCAAAAATTTTGTTAAATTCTATAATGGTGATATGCATCTTTTAGGAAAGATATACATTTTTAAAAATCTATTTTATGTAAGAACTGACAGAGGAATTTGCTTTGTATAATGCAGGCTGGCTTTACAAAAGCACTGTAGCAAATTTACTACAAGTCTAAAAGTATACATATATGTTAATAGATATATGTGCAACTAGATATGGACAGCAGTTGTATTTTTTTAAATAAATATTTTTAACAAAATGATTTTCTGAATTGATTATTTATTCCCTTCTCTCACATTCATTGAGGTGGTCTCTTTACAGTCTCTGTATTACATTTTCATCCATGCTAACTGTGGGTCAGGAAAGAGTTGTTTTCCCAATGGCTATCATTAAAATCTGGCCTTCAACAATTTGATATGTATCTACATTAAAATATTTAAAGTCTAGATTCAGATAGGTGGTGAACAGGGGAGATTGTAAAATGATTGTTGACATAAAAGGAATTAAGAGAGAACTGAGTGGCTAGAAAAAATATTCACCATGTGAAATCTCTTTTTGTTTTACTTGAAAAATAAAGGGTTTTTAAAAATTTAATCAGCTGGGTGCAGTGGCTCACACCTGTAATGCCAGCACTTTGGGAAGCCAAGGCAGGTGGATCACCTGAGGTCAGGAGTTTGAGACCAGCCTGGCCAACATGGTGAAACCCTGTTTCTACTAAAAATCCTCCCAAAATTAGCTGGACGTGGTGGGGTGTGCCTGTAGTCCCAGCTACTCGGGAGGCTGAAGCAGAAGAATCGCTTGAATCCGGGAGGCAGAGGTTGCAGTGAGCTGAGATCACACCACTGCACTGGTGTGATCATGGGTGACAGAGCAAGATCCTATCTCAAAAAAAAAGAAAAAAAAATCAGAGGCTTTTATCTAGCCCTTGTAAAAAGCAATGTAGACTTCACTTAGCAAATGAAATTAGGCTTTTTTAGAATTGGGTCAAAATAATATACATAAGGGAAAGTGGGTTGTTTTGTTTTGAGACAGAGTTTTGCTCTTGTTGCCCAGGCTGGAGTGCAATGGTGCGATCTCGGCTCACTGCGACCTCTGCCTCCTGGGTTGAAGCGATTCTCCTGCCTCAGCCTCCCGAGTAGCTGGGATTACAGGCATGCGCCACCACACCCGGCTAATTTTGTATTTTTAGTAGAGACGGGTTTTCTCCGTGTTGGTCAGGCTGGTCTGGAACTCCTGACCTCAGGTGGTCCGCCCGCTTTGGCCTCGCAAAGTGCTGGGATTACAGGCATGAGCCACTGTAACCAGCCCAAAAGTGGGGTTTATAGGTGGCAAAATGACAGCAGAGAGCTGTTTTCGTATCTCTTAATGAAAATCACAGGAGGATAGAGTGACAGATTGTTCTGGGGCAAAGGGGGCAGTTCACTACCCTGGTGAAATGGGTGAAATGTCACTTTGGTTGGTGGGTCAGTCAGCATGTGGAGCACAGTGAGGACTACTGCATGCTCCTAACACACTGCTCTCAGAGTATCAACTGCGACGGTAGTCCCACGAGGTAAAATCAGTTTGGGAAATGGGTTCTTCACGGAAATTCAAAAGGAAATTTCAGAATATGAAAAGTGCCAAGTCCTTCAGTTAAAAAGCCTGTTTAGGCTGGGCGTGGTGGCTTATGCCTGTAATCCCAGCACTTTGGGAGGCCGAGGCAGGTGGATCACGAGATCAGGAGATCGAGACCATCCTGGCTAACACGGTGAAACCCCGTCTCTACTAAAAATACAAAAAATTAGCTGGGCGTGGTGGCGGGCGCCTGGAGTCCCAGCTGCTTGGGAGGCTGAGGCAGGAGAATGGCGTGAACCCAGGAGGTGGAGCTTGCAGTGAGCTGAGATCATGGCACTGCACTCCAGCCTGGGCGATAGAGCGAGACTCCATCTCAAACAAAAAAAAGCCTGTTTAAGTCACCACCGTTTTCTAACCTTTCTGACTGTTGACACTTATTTTGAGAAGCCTACCTGTTTTGCAAGCACTTTCTGTGTTTTATAGGTGCGTTTAATGACAAACTAATACCCTAATATTGGGTAATTTTCCAGGGTTGGCATTATCAGGTAGGAGATAATAATTAACAGTTAGATGATTTCACATTGATTGTTGCTACAAAACACTGTACTAACTGGACGACCGACCCCCTGTAACTGCAGGGAGTCTATGAAAGTGACTTCATTTTATTAAATGAAACAGGAGTGGGCCGGGCGCAGTGGCTCACGCCTGTAATCCCAGCACTTTAGGAGGCTGAGGCAGGTAGATCACCGGAGGTCAGGAGTTAGAGACTAGCCTGACCAACAGGTGAAACCCTGTCTCTACTAAAAATACAAAATTAGCTGGGTGTGGTGGCGCGTGCCTGTAATCCCAGCTACTAGGGAGGCTGAAACAGGAGAATCGCTTGAACCCGGGAGGCGGAGGTTGCAGTGAGCCAAGATCACGCCATTGCACTCCAGCCTGGGCAATGAGAGTGAAACTCCGTCTCAAAAAAAAAAAAAAAAGCGCAAACTCAAACAGCTGTGCCAGTCAGCTGACAAGCATTGGTGTTAAGGAGTCCATTGGATGGTTCCCATGTTTTTTGTTTTGTTTTGGGGTCAACCGTGCTGTCACCCAGTCTGAAGTGCAGTGGCACAGTCATGGCTCACTGCAGCCTCAAACTTCAGGGCTCAAATGATCCTCCCACCTTGGCTTCCCAAAGCACTGAGATTACAGGCATGAGCCACCACCATATGTTTTGAATATGTCACCATAATTAACCAAAACTATCTTCTTTGGTCAAGGTCATATTGCCTTACATGTTGCCACATCTGGTGGTTGACATTCGGTGTTCATTGGACCTCTTGGCAGCACTGATTACTTAACTCCTTCTTGAGATGCACTTCATGTGCCCTCCAGGAAACCACATTTTCTCCTGAACTTCCTATTTCTCTGGCTTTTCTCATGTGCGCTGCTGGGACTTGTTCTTTTTCTAAAACTCTAGATGTTGAAGAATCCCAGGGCTCAATCTGTCCATCTCTACATTCATTCCCTAGCTTGTGTCATTTTAGTCCTATGACTTTAAATACTTCTTTATGTGACCACAAAATTTGTATCTTCAGCTTTGACTTCTCTTTTAAACTCTAGACTTCTATATCTAACAGCCTTCTTGACATCCAAGATTGCATCATAAGATGATCATGTCCAAAATAGAACTCAGAATGTCTCCCCATGGCCTTCCAGAGTTAAATGGCTTCATCATGTACCCAGTTACTTAGGTCAGATTCCTTCAGGTCATCGTTGATTCTTTTTTGTTTGTTTTTTTGAGACGGAGTTTCACTCTTGTCACCCAGGCTGGTGTGCAGTGGCGTGATCTCACTTCACTGCAACCTCTGCCTCCCAGGTTCAACCGATTCTCCTGCCTCAGCCTCCCGAGTAGTTGGGATTACAGGCACCTGCCACCACACCCAGCTAATTTTTGTATTTTTAGTAGAGACAGGGTTTTGCCATGTTAGCCAGTCTGGTCTCGAACTCCTGACCTCAGGTGATCCATCTGCCTTGGCCTCCCAAAGTGCTGGGATTACAGGCGTGAGCCACCGTTCCCGGCCCATCCTTGATTCTTATCTTTCTCACACTACACCCAATCCATCAGCAAATTGTCAGTTTCACCTTCAAAATATTGCTTGAATCCAATCACTTTCACCACTTCCGTTGCTATCTACATTTCCAAGCCACCATTATTTCTTCAGTCTATTGCAGTGGTACCCAGGTGGTCTTCCCAATTCCATGCTTGCCCCATAGTCTCTTTTCCATAGTAACCAGTGATACTTTAGATATGTAAATCAGATCGTGTCGCTTGCCTGCTCACAACTCTTCCAGTCATCTTACATCACTCCAAAAAACCTCTACACATACCATGGCTTGTATGATCTGGCCTCTAGCAACCACTCCCACTTGTTCCGTTTGACTCTTCCTCACTGCAGTTGAGCCACACCAGCCTACTTGCTGTTCCTCCAATACCATAAGCATATTCCAGCCTAAGGCTCTTGTACTTGCTGTGCCCCCTGCCTGATGGGATGTTTTCACGTACTTGGATAGCTTGGTCCCACGTATCATTTAGTTTTCTACACAAATAGGACCTCCTTAGAAACGCCTTCCAGAGCATCTTTTTTTTTTTTTTTTTTTTTTTTGAGACAGAGCCTCACCCTGTCACCCAGGCTGGAGTGCAGTGGCACAATCTCAGCTTACTGTAACCTCCACCTCCCAGGTTCAAGCAATTCTCCCACCTCAGCCTCCCCAGTAGCTGGGATTACAGATTACAGGTGTGCACCACCAGGCCCAGCTAAATTTTGTATTTTTAGTAGAGACAGGATTTTGCCATGTTGGCCAGGCTGGTCTTGAACTCCTGATCTCAGGTGATCCGCCTGCCTCAGCCTCCCAAAGTGTTGGGATTACAGGTGTGAGCCACTGTGCCTGGCCCTAGAGCATCTCTTGACATTCCCTATTCCCATTCCATACTCCCTGTATGTTTCTTTATGGTGCTACATTACCCCTCACCCTGTGGCATTCCCATATCCTATTCCATATTCCCTGTATGTATGTTTCTCTATGGTGCTACATTACCCCTCACCCTGTGGCATGTTACGTGTAGTATTTGTTTGCTGTCTGTATGTCTTCACCTGCGGTATAATCCTTGTGAGGCAGGGACTTCTGTCTCAGTCACCACTGTATGTCTGTACCTAGATTAGTGCCTTGAACATAGCAGGTGCTTAACAAATCCTTTTTGACTGAATAAACGAAATTCACTCTAAAAGAACTCTATGTCACTGTGTCTTCTTTTAGTGAATCCGATGTGCCTGATGGGTTAGATTTCCATATACAAGTAGCAGAGGAAAATCTGGGAACAGGGTGATTCCACAGGATTCTGAAATGTCCAAATTCCTGAAAGGAAGATGAGGAAGAAAGTCCTACTTGTGTAACTGAGAAGCGTGTGGTGTAAGAATCGACCTGCCTTTTCCTTATTCCTTATTCTGATTTTATGTAATAGGGAATAGTGGCACTTAGCCCTGCTATGAGAGGTTATTTATTTATTTATTTATTTATCTTTTTTTAAAAAAATTCAGAGTTTCCCTTGTGAGACAGTTTTCTTTCTTCTAAAATATAAGCCACATTAACTTATTAGTATGAGAGAGACCTGCCTCTGGGGAACATCAGACCATTTGTTTCTGAGTGTATGCAAGAGGATCAATTGTTCTTCATAATGGATAACACACTTAATAAGTTTAAATATTTTATTTTAGGAAAGGTACTCTTAGATTTGTGTTAATGTTGTTTTCTGTATTAACAAATTAGTCACAATCAACTTCGATATAGCCATTGATTCTTCTTTCTAAATCTGTATAAAAAGGATATTTTCTTGAAAAACCACAAGAAAAATACAACTGCTTTTTCATTGCCCAGGTCAGTTACTCGCTACAGTCAGACTGCATTTAAATTAGACTGGCATCTAATACTTTTGAGTATTTACAAATATAATTAAAACTATACTCCTAGACCACCAGCTTTCAAAAAAGTTGGATCTGCTTGACTTGCAATAAATATGTACCAAACATGAATAATTTCTAAGCCGCTTATGAGGAGGTTTTAAAAATTACTAACATTTATTAAGCAGTTTGTGTGTCAGGCATATTGTGAGTGCTTTGCTTTATACAAATTCACTTACTTTTTTCAGAATTCCTTTGAGGTAGGGTAGGTACTTTTAGAAATGCCATTTTACATGTGAAAAGTGAGGTTGGAAGAGCCTCAGTAACCTGCCCAGGGCCACACAGCTAGAAGGTGAGCCAGCACTTGAGCCACGTTTCTCTTTCCAGCCAGATTCTCAGCACTCAGCTGTGCTGCTGGTGGTCACAGCTGGCTGACTGGACCAGGAAGAACCTTTTAGTGTCAGGCGTGTGAATCACAGCACTTGGGACAGGTTACCAAGAACCATGATCACTTAATTTTTATATTTATACATGTACATTTGTATATACATAGAGAAAGTGCAGGCAAAACCATTATACAGTTACTCTAATAGCCATTTGCTACTGCCAGCAGTCTCAGGACTGATCCCTGTCTAAGCTGGCAAGTTTACATTCTCCTTGTATCACTACAGGATTTGCTCTGGACAGGAGCTGTAACTCCTCAACAAATCCTGCTTTCAGTCTACTACTGCACAGCTTGAATTGTTCAGTAGGCCCAGCTTTTTGTGAAAGAAAAGGCCTTGCCATGGTATAAAGAGTTTTTTTCCCTCTATAAAAGATGTAAAATTTTTGGCTGGGTGCAGTGGCTCACGCCTGTAATCCCAGCACTTTGGGAGGCCGAGACGGGCAGATCATGAGGTCAGGAGATCAAGACCATCCTGGCTAACACGGTGAAATCCCGTCTCTACTAAAAATACAAAAAATTAGCTGTGCGTGATGGCATGCGCCTGTAGTCACAGCTACTTGGGAGGCTGAGGCAGGAGAATCGCTTGAAACTGGGAGGCGGAGGTTGCAGTGAGCCGAGATGACGCCACTGCATTCCAGCCTGGCAACAGAGTGAGACTCTGTCTCAAAAACAAAAACAAAAACAAAAAAAGATGTAAAATTTTCATTAGGTATTTTCAGAAAGTCTTAGTGCTGTTTCTATACCTTTTATATGCTAGTCAATGTCAGTAGAAAAAAATGGAACATCCATTTCATTCTCCTGGGCGATTTCTGGACCAGTTAGCCTTGATTACTAGCAGTGGTATGCTGGTAAATGTTTAACCACTGGCTCTCCGGGATCTGTAGCTTTTGCCAGTGTCCATGGTAATACTCCCACCAGGCTGATTTCAAGCTACCAACATGCTATCACGAAGAGTGGAGTTGAGACAAGGTGCACAGTAGCACACCATCATATATAGTAATTCCACCACACAGGTACCATGGACGTAAATTACCTCAAGAGCATCAAGATCAAATTAGGAAGTGATATGCTTTGAATATTTATTACCTTTGTTTTAAATGTAATTGATTTAATTATAAGTTTGTATGATTTGATTTTTAATAATGGCTGCATTTAATAACCAGCTGTCAAAATGAAAATTTTACAATCAGCTTTTCTAAGTTGGTATGAGCCAGCTTAGCATACCACTACATTAGTATACCAAAGAGAGCAAGATTCAACTTTTCCTTTTGGTGTTTGAGAATATAGATAAGCTATTGATGTCTGCAGCAGGAATTTAAGAGACTTTGGACTATTAAGTGAAAAGCACGAAAATCCTTTGAGCATGCCAGGGAATAACTTGCAGCTTGTTTTGCTTAAATTGAAATATATCTACATATAGCAATGATCATGGAGCTTTACAATTTCAACCTATTTTTACAAACTTCAATGAAGAATGATCTCAAACCCAGAGTATGGTCCATGCATGAGGTGACAAATGGAGTGAAGCGCGCGGCTGTCTCCTTCCTTCCCATCTGGGTATCTGGACAGCTCTTACCAACAGTCTGAACCAGGGAAGAAGATAACTTGAGAAGCCAGGTAAACTTCTAATGATTTTGACCAGGTACCAGGACTCAATTTAATTTCCTCTACCCAACCAAGTTTTAGTGGAGAAGACTTGAATAGCCATTGAGAGAGCGCCTCCACCACCACCCAGCTTTCTGAAACAGTATGGTCGTGCTGGTGATCAAGAGGCTGAAAGTCTTCTCTTGCCTTCTTCACCCAGTTTTACCTCTGGTAGCACTCAGAGTTTTCCATTCCAATTGATCTGTCTTGGGTAGGAACTACAAAAGAAAAACAAAACAGGTAGCATGTTTCAGCAGCTCTGATGAGTTGCAGTGATGATTCATTCTGAGAGCTTACCCAGGCTGTTTGTTTCTCTGCCATTCTGTGGCTCTAGAGGGAGCAAAGTGAAAAGTCAGACCCCCTAGTTCTGGCGAACAGTTGGTGGAGGCAGTTTCCTGAGACTGCTGTCTAGGGCTTGGGGAATGTGTCTGTCTCCCATGAATAAGGAGCCCATTAAGTGTTATTCATTTAATGTTCAGCAAATATTAATTGAATGTAGGTCTTAAATGAAACTCCTGTGTGTGTGCAACCAGTACTGCTGTCTCAGAAGTGAGGCTATAGTTAGTGCTGTTTTGGGGGCCACCTTTCCTTCTGGGCCTTTGTACTGAGCGTTTAGAGCGTAGATATGTTCACCCACTGAGAGCGGATGGTGAATGCCTGTTCCTTTAGTCTTTTTGTGATGATTTTGCTTTTTATAGGGAGGACAGAGTCTCCGCCTGGGCACCTTCTCTTAAGAACTGGCTTTGCACACAGCCGATGCAGTCCCTGGGCACTTTGAAAGCAGTGGGCAAAAGGGCAGGTAAGGGCTCAGGGTTATGAAAATTGCTTTGGGACTCCCCCTGCCTGGGGTCTCTAGAAGGGAGACTATTCTTAGGAGGTGTCTGTGCCCTGAAGGAGACTTTCTTTGCTACTTGGCCTGAAGGACTTCTTTTTGAAAAAAAGATTTGGACTAGAATCAAAATCCTGAACTGCAAAGAGATGGCCAATTAGGCCGTTGGGCTGAGTTCCAGCCAAGGAGTCGGGCTCTGCCTTTCAGTTCCCTGAACAGGCTGGAAAGAGATTCTTGGCTCATGGTCCCATGACATGGTGGGATGCAGGAAGCCAAGTTCACAATCCATACCCCTCTGCTAATGGAGAAACCATGAGTCAGCCGACCCAGCTCTCGCCTATCTTAAGAGTCCAGCGCAGACAATCGTATGGAAAGCAGGAAGAGAGGAAAAGGAAGCTGTAGAAAAATAAACATTTCCTTGCATTTTACTTGGAACAGAGCAGCGTTTCTGGCACGTTAAGATCCATAGCATCTCCTGCTCCCCCGCTCCCCGACCCCGGCTCTGTTTTCCTCCTCTTGTGTAGAAACAGATACTTTCCTTACCTGATGGGAGTCCAGGGTGCATCCTGTGGAAAAACAGGAGCAAGATATAGAAGGTAAAAGCCAGACAACCAAAGATCACGCCACAGACCAGGAAACTATAGCTGCCCTGAGCCTGGAATATCTGCCAAAGGGGAAAACACAGAGAGACAGACAATTAAAACTTCACGTGGAAGGTGTATCGGAGGAAGCAGCCTTCTCCATCCTTGGCTGGTTTTTCAGCTAAGTTGAGGCCCGTCACACCAAGAGATGGAATCACGGGGAGGAGGGAGGCCTTGGCCTTGTTTCAAGTTGATGTGTCTGGAGAAGGCCGAAGTCCTGCTCTAAGGCAGGGACTGGACCTGGTGACCCCCTGCAGTCCCTTGCAGCTCTGTGTTCTGGAACCTTCTGACGATCTCTATCATCACTGAAGCTCCAGTCATACTAGGTGTTTCTATACCCATAAGCCCTAACCAGAACTTTGCAGAGGATATATTGTTTTACTCTTTTATTATGAGAATTTAAAACATGTTAAAGTAGTATATGGAGCTCCAATGAACCCAACACTCAACTTTAGCAGTCAGCACCGGTTTCATTGGTGGCCTTGCACTTCTTTTCTGCACTAGGTTACACTAAAGCAAGTCCCAGATGTCACATCATTTCAATGAGGAGGGTATGGTGAGATGCAGCTCTTCCCCTCCCTCCAGCAGGGCAAAAGAGGAGGAAAGGAGAATGGAGTCACAATGAGGGAGATTTTGGAGGCCGGAAGATCTAGATGTGAGGTCCTCTCTGTCAGTTTCTGGAAGTGTGACTGACCTAGGGTAAGTTGCTAAATTCATCTGAGTTTCCGTGTCCTCTGTTGTAAAAAGGGGAATAATATCTACATTATAGTATTCAATAAAAAGTAGATGTTAGGTTGTTTTTTTTTTTTTCCTGGTGAATAAATGAAACATGGGTGGATTTGAATAGAACTGGAAGAGTTGGCCCTCTCGGTCAGGGCAGGAGTTGAGCAGGAAGCTGGGCCCTCTGCAGGGTGGCCAGAGGCTGTGAGAGGTGGGGTAGGGAGTGGTGGGTTCCGAAGGGATGGAAAAAGAACTCTGACTGCAGTTCCAACCCATCTCAGGCTCTGAGAGCTAAACAGCATTCCCACGGGCCCCCTCTGGCCCTGCTCCCAGACATGGCTTGTGTTTGCTTTGGACTTTTCCATGCATCCGTTTACATCTCCAGATCCCACATATGGAGGCTCAGCTCTCAGGGCTGGCTTGGAAACGGAAACAGGTAACAACGGCACAGGGGGCCCTGCTGGCTTTGCTGGAGACTCAGGAAAGGGACAGTTTGAGTTCAGAAGGTGGCTATCTGCATCTTCTCACCTGTCAGAGGAGTGCTCCCCAAATGCTCCCCTCTCCCTTACAGGTCCCCACATACCGAACCAACCAGCATCTGCAGCACCATCTCGCCAACTCCTGCCCCTGTCACCAGCACTGTGGTTGCACAGCCTAACAAAAAGAGAAGGTTTGGTTTGGTAAAAGCAAGTTAAGGAGACAGAAGCCAGCATTACAATCCAGGTTGCTGGCCAGGCACAGTGGCATATGCATTTCGGAAGGCACATCCCAGTACTTTAGGAGTCAGAAGTGGGAGGATCTCTTGAGGCCAGGAGTTCAAGACCAGTCTGGGCAATATCACAAGACTTGGTCTCTACAAAAAGTAAAATTTAAAAAAATTAACTGGGCATGGTGGTGTGCACCTGTAGTCCCAGCTACTTGGGAGGCTAAGGTAGGAGGGTCCCTCGAGCCCATGAATTGGAGGCTGCAGTGAGCCATGATCGCACCACTGCACTCCAGCCTGGGTGACAGAGTGAGACCCTGTCAAAAAACGAAAAAAAAAAAAAAAAAAAAAAAAAAACAACCTAGGTTGCTTCTGGGAAACCTCTGGAAGATGGCCTGGCAGAAAGGACTACTTTGGATTTCTCAGACATGAGCCTGTAACTTTGCTTTGGGAATGCCTAGGTCTTACTGTCATTTTGTCCTTTCCTTGTTCTGAAACCTTTAATTGCTCATCAATATCTCAGGGTAAATCCCATCTTGCTTAGCCCTGGCATTCAGCGCCATTCCCATTCTGACTGCTACCTACCTTTCCAGAAAGATTTCCTGATATCCTGAGGCTAGCCCTCTGGTGCAGGCAGACTAGTGTCTTCGCTGTCCTGGCATTGCACTGACCAGCCACACGCCCTGATGAGTCTGGCAGTGTGGTGCACACCTTCAGAGCCCAAGCTTCAGAGTCAGACTTGGGTTCCAAGCCCAGGTTGTCACCTACTGGCCATGTGACCTTAGACAAGTTCTCTAACCTCTCTAGGCCTTGGTTGCCTTCTCTGTAAGATGAGCATCACACCTCCTTCACAGACTTACCGTGTGGGTAACTCTGATGTAAGACATGCCAAGAGCCTGGCATAGGACTGGCACACAGTAAACTCAAAACCAGCCCAACTCTCTGCGCAAGCCCCTCAGCACTGCCTTCAGGATGAAGGCCAAGGACTTTCAAGTGGTTTGCAGAGCCCTTTAGACTCTGCCCCTGCTAATGGCTCAGGCTTCTCTCTCCCCCTCCACCCTCCGTAACTCTCACCTCCAGGCTTCAGCACACATCTTCACTCCCCACTGAACATTCATCCTCCTCCTCTTTTCTGGTAAACTATCATTCATCTTTTTTTTTTTTTTTTTTTTTTTTTTTTTTTTTTGAGACAGAGTCTTGCTCTGTCGCCCAGGCTGGAGTACAGTGCCTCAGCCTCCCAAGAAGCTGGGATTATAGGCATGCCCCACCACACCTGGCTAATTTTTGTATTTTTAGTAGAGATGGGGTTCCACCATGTTGGCCAGCTGGTTCCCATTGATCTTTTAGGTCCTAGTTTAGACTTCCATCAGTAATGTTCCTCTCTGGTCCCCATGCCTGGATGGGTTGCTTCTCTGTGCTGTGATATCACTCTGCACCTGCTCTCACCACACTGTCTGTTGACCAGCTAGCCCTCCCCACTAGGCTGGAAGCCCAGGAGAGGATGGCCATGCCTTGTCTTATAGATCACTGGCAAAAACCAGTGCCTGTTAGTAGCACAGCAGCTAACACATAGTAGACACTATTTTTTTTTAATAAAATGGTTGTCATCATTGTCTACTCTGGACTTCACATTCCTTCTAGCTCGTTCAGTCTCACTTATGTTCAGACTTGTCTCTGTGCCTTTGCTCTCATTCTGTTCACTGCCCCACCCTACCCAGGAAGGCCTTTCCATTTTCCTCTCTGCTTTTCTAGATTCTGGTCCAGCTCACATCCCATCCCCTCTATGAAGCTACTTTTATTTAAATCAACACTGCCCCCTCACTCCCTTCCCTGAATTCCAGCAGCACCCATCTGTCTGTTCCACTCATTTGTTTAAAAAACTGAGGACCACTGGGTTCTATGCTAACCACTGAGGATGCTCAGGTGAATACTAAGAGTTAACAAGACACTGAGTGCCTGTGAGTCAGCTTTGATGCTAAGTCAAAAGCTTTACATTTTTTCTGATGCACAAAACAATCCTAAAAGGCAGGTATTTGCATCCCCATTTTACAGATGAGAAAATTGAGGCTCAGAGAGGGGAAGGAAGTGAAACTGCACAAGGTCATAAAGCCAGTAACTCTGGAGGCAGGACTGCCAGGTGTGCTATTGCCTGCACAGCCCGTGCTCTTACCCTTGTCCCTTGGTAGGGTCATGTTGTCTAGGAGAAGCAGATAACCTAGGTACAAAAGTCTTGAGATGGGTCAAACATGAGAGACAGGGGCAACGTCAAAGGGCACAAAGGGGAGGCACACCTTTCCAGTGGGGATCAGAGGAGCTTCCTGGAGAGGGACACTTCCTGGAGTTAGGTCTGGAAGGAAGAGCAGGAAGATAAAGGGGCGAGATGGAGCAGGGAGGATGTTCCAGGCAGAGGGTTCACCACGTGCCAAAGTAGGGAGGTACAGAACAGTTTTTGTGCCATCAGGGAATAGCATGTAATTCGTGGCTAGGATGCAGGTTTGCAGGGGAAGCAGGGAGAGAGAAGTCTGGAGAGAAAGATGCCCCATAGGTAGATCTGGAGGTTGTGATCAGCTCTGTTTTCTGGTTTTTTTGGGGGAACACTTCACACATTTGCATGTCATCCTTGGACAGGGGCCATGCTCATCATCTCTGTGTTGGTCCAATTATAGTACATGTGCTGCTGAAGTAAGCACAGCCCTGTTTTACCATGTGGAGGGTGGCTTAGTACATGGTCCTCACCTCTAGGTGCACATTAGAATCACCCAGCAGCTCCGGACCAGTTGCATCAGACTCAGAGGTAAGGCCCAATCACTGGGTTTTGGTACCAGAACTCCAGGTGATTTTAATGTTCAGCCAGCTGGGTTAGATGGAGGCAAGACTGAAGACAAGGAGACAAGCCAAGACCCATCAAAGAAGGGATGGAGGTGATTAGAACTTGGAAAAACCTGGGTACCATTAACTAGTCCAAGCAGGTCAATGAAGATAAAGACCTTAAATTAGGCAGGGACAGTAAGAAATGAAGATGATGGATTTGAGTGATCATTTGCAGGCAGAATCAATCAATATCACTTTTTTTTTTTTTTTTTGAGACAGAGTCTTGCTCTGTCACCCAGGCTGGAGTGCAATCTCAGCTCGCTGCAACCTCCACCTCCTGGGTTCAAGCAATTCTCCTGCCTCAGCCTCCCAAGTAGCTGGGATTACAGGTGCCTGCCACCACGCCTAGCTAATTTTTGTACTTTTAGTAGAGCTGGGGTTTCACTGTGTTGGCCAGGCTGGTCCCAAATTCCTGACTTCAAGTGATCCACCCGCCTCAGCCTCCCAAAGTGCTGGGATTACAGGCGTGAGCCACTGCACCCAGCCTCACTTATCATTATTAAACTCTAACATGTGTTGATCACTTAAAACTCTCGAGTTGTACTGTGTGACATGTGATAGCTACCTTATTTCATTACTTCATTTATTCCCTTGAGGCTTGGAGACTGATGCGTGAGGGAGGAGTCTGAGGGCTCCTGGGCCCTCGCCCATGGGAGCTGGGTGCGTGGCTGTCCTGTTGTTAGGACAAGCTGCAGGGAGAGACTGTGTTTCCTTGGCCATGTCCCGTGGGGCCCAGCATGATGTCCTGAGTAGCAGAAAGATGGGTGAGGGATGGGCTGCCTGGATGATGACTGGCTGATGCATTTTCTGCCCTCAGTTTTCACCGTGGCCAGGATCTCTTCAGAGTCATGATTCAATGGAATTTATACCAAGTGTGCCCTGATTTGGGGGTGTTTCTCAGATGATGTGTAGTGCCCCCACTCAGAGGAGCCAGAAGCCAAAGAAACTCAGATACACTTGATTCTCTAATTCATTCTCTCACAGGAATTGTCTTCTAAACTGCAAATATTAAACAGCGCAGAGAATGGTCTCACAAGCTCAGAAGGGATCTGGGAGGAAATGAACTGCTAAGAGGGTTATTTTCAGCTACTTTCACTTACTGCTTTAAACTGTGCTTCTATTGTTTGAGGTTTTTGCAGTGAGCACATACGACTTATATAATAAAAAAAATTCCATTTTGAAAACAAAACAAAAAGTGTGCAGGTTTATCGTAGAAAAGATTTTATTCCTAACGACTGATGGTGATGTTATGTGCTAAAATTGTCTGGGGCTTATCCTTCAATTTCAAGGATCCAGGCTGTGGATAACTGCTGGGTGAAGCTCTAACTGCCCTGACTCTCCCTGTACACCAACTTCCCCCACTCCTCTCTAAAGAAATCGCTCATCTTTTTTTTTTTTTTTTTTTTGAGACAGAGTCTCGCCCTGTCGCCCAGGCTGGAGTGCTCACTGCAAGCTCCACCTCCTGGGTTCACGCCATTCTCCTGCCTCAGCCTCCCGAGTAGCTGGGACTACAGGTGCCTGCCACCACGCCTGGCTAATTTTTTTGTATTTTTAGTAGAGACGGGGTTTCAGCGTGTTAGCTAGGATGGTCTCGATCTCCTGACCTCGTGATCCGCCTGCCTTGGCCTCCCAAAGTGCTGGGATTACAGGCGTGAGCCACCCCGCGCGGCCAGAAATCGCTTATCTTAATGCTGGTTTTCCAGCCTCTAGTGCGTCTCTGGTGATGTTCAAAATATAATTATTTTTAATTAACTCATTAAAAAAGAGATCTTTGCTATAGGCACTCGGGAGGCTAGGGAAAGGGGAGGGAGATTAGTCGAGAGAATTAGAGATTTCTGACATCAAAGAGGCTGTGTGACTCCTGAAACCAGATCTGTGTTCTAATCCTCCACGTTTCTAACATCCACCACAGCCACAAGGCAGGCACGTACTGTTACTGAAAATTAGCTTACAAAATGCCTTTCCTATGCCATAACTTCTCCTGTGCATCTTTGCTTTTCTTTGAACTTGGCATTTCCAGCACATCCATATCGCACAAAATGTCAGCTGCAGGTCAGCAGACGTTACGATGGGGACAAAGCGGATGGAAAAAAGAAGCTTAACTGCTTCTCTGCGGCCTAAAATCCCATCATTACGGGGATCATTCTGAATGGAGGGAGCCCAGCGGGTCAGAACCACCCCGGCTGTGGGCCTGCTCCCGCCAAAGTCAGGAGGGGGGTGTTCATTTCTCCAGGGAGCTAGGGCAGCGTTCTCGCTGGGAGATGGTGCTGGCCTAGAAGAGCACAGGGGAACATCACACACCTGGGACAGTTGTGGGGTGGGGAGAGGGGGGAGGGATAGCATTAGGAGATATACCTAATGCTAAATGACGAGTTAATGGGTGCAGCACACCAACATGGCACATGTATACATATGTAACAAACCTGCACGTTGTGCACATGTACCCTAAAACGTGAAGTATAATAATAATAAAATTAAAAAAAAAAAAAAAGAGCACAGAGAGACAGGGCAGAGCGAGGCGGCGGCGCCCAGCTAGATAGAGCGCGCCTCCTGGCTCGGGCCCGGCCCTCACCTTTGTACTGCAGCGAGTCCTCCGTGTAGGCCAGCATGCTGGGGAAGGTGCTGCTGAGAAACAGGCCCAGGCTTGCCGTCCCCACGAACAGGAAGACGACGTTGTAGGAGAAAATAAGCAGCACCAGGAACGTCACCACCACGCCAACCTGTCGCGGCAGAGGTGGAGGCGGTTAGGAATTGCGAAAAGCTGAGCATCGGTGGTGAGGAACCGCCAGGAGTCGGCGTCTCCTGGCTTGGCGTTTCCTCTCTAGCCCAAGGAGCCCAGCTGTGTGACCCGCGCGCCACCCCGTGGACCAGGCGGGAACCGCAGTGTTCCGGGGACCGTTCTGACATCTGGAAGGAAGCGTGGAAAGGAGACCCCCGCCTAGACATCTTCCCACCTAGACATCTCCCCTAACAGCTACGGTACACGCTGCGTAAGCATTTGGGGACTGAGGACTACCTGTCCCCAAGGTCTTATCTGTAACCGCGGGAACTCCACCCAAGCCAATTTCATCAGCTCTCTCTGCCCTGCCAGCCCTGGGGGTAGGAGAGTCTCTGTTTCTTTGTGAGAAGCTGCTTCTCTTCTCCTGAAAGCCAAGAGTGCACAGACAGGAAGCCATCAGATAGCAGGGGAAGAGGGGTGGTGGCAGCAGGGTCCCATCCTCTGGGAATCCTAGCCAGCCACCCAGGGAGAGGGTCAGTGGCTGTGGCAGTCAGCTTGGCACCCTCAGATTTGGCTCAGATTCCCATGGGCAGATGCTAACCTATGGTTGGAGACCCAGAAATCTTTCTTTTCTTTCCTTTTTTTTTTTTTTTTTTTGAGAGACAGGGTCTCACTCTGTTGCCCAAATTGGAGTGCAGTGGTGCAATCTCAGCTCACTGCAGCCTCGACCTACAGGGCTCAAGCGTTCCTCCCACCTCAGCCTCCTGAGTAGCTGGGACCTCAGGCATGTGCCACCACGCCTGCTAATTTTCTGTATTTTTAGTCGAGAAAGGGTTCGCCATGTTGCCCAGGCTGGTCTTGAACTTCTGGGCTCAAGCAATCCATCTGCCTCAGCTTCCCAAACTGTTGGGATTACAGGCATGAGCCCCCACGCCCAGCCAAATCTTTCTAGTTCAGTAAAGGTCTCTGTCATACAGGCATGTTTTTGTTAATATAACCATATTTCTAAGTTCTTTAAACACGTTTTTATGTCTGCATTGAGTCACTTCTGTGCAAGATGTATCTGGGAATAAACCCAGGCAGCACAAGATTTGGGGTCAGAAGACCCAGGTGGAAGTCCCGATGTGTTTTTTACCAGCTGTGGAACCCAGAAGTAGCTGATTGCTCTGATTCTTAACTTCCTAATCTGCAAAATAGGAATAGTTACAAAAGCCACACTAAAGAGTGGTGGTGAAATAATACAGATGAAGGGGCTCTGTAAACTGTGGTGCTTCAGACAAATATGAGTCCTAGTGTTTCTCTGTGGGCTTTTCTTAGACGTCTCAGGAGATAAGGATCTTCTATAGCAGCCTATGGCTTTGAGGTAAAAATCTCCTGGATGAAGACATCTGTTTCTTTAAAAAGTAAGTACAGACTATAGAGCTAGGCAAGAAATCTCATCCAGCTCCCAACCCCTCCACTTCTGGGCATGCAGAAAGGAAAGACTTTCAGGGTTGGGAGCCGATCCTGGGAGAGTTGCTCCAATTGGAAAATCAAAGCCGGTGCTCCTAATCCTTGAGGCCTTTACGCTCCTCTAGCAGCCCTTCCGTCTCTGCCACAGGATCTGTTAGGTGGAAGGTGGTCTCGAGGCTCAGAGGCCTTACCCAGACAGACTTCCTTCCCTGGGGAGGGATCAGCCACAAAACAGTGGCCGAAGGAGAGAAACACATTCCCTTCAGAATGGAAATGGAAAGACAAAAGACTTCTTTCATGCAGTAAAAATATGAAAGTCATAGCATAACTATGGTTCCAAAGGTCATGTCTTTCTTTGGCACAGAACATGGTCCCTGAGATCCATTTGTTCTTGCTTTCCCCTCTGTTCACTCTCTCAATGTTGGGGTGGCCCAGGATTCTCTTCTGGCTCTTCCATGTCCGCAGTGCCCTGCTCCACGTTTCACCTGCCTCTACAGCAGGCATGCTTGTATCTATCCCTCTAGCCATGAGCTGTGTCCAGGACTCCGGACTTGCACCTAAAGCTGCCCCTTGGATATAGTCAGTCCCTGGATGACTAACCATGTGGCCCAAACTAGACTCTTAATTTCCTCTGCCAATCCTACTCCTGCACACATCAAGTGAGGGCATCCCAGTCATGCAGTTGCTCAAGTCCTGTGTCTAAGGTCCTTGATTCCTCCTTTCCTTACCTCCCACACCTGGGTCAGCAACAAGTCCTGTCCACACCATCTCAAAAAACATGTTCGATCCTTGTACTGCTCCAGATCCATCCAGACCACCCCATCCCAGCCACCTCCCTCTTGCGCCTGGACTACAATAACAGACAGTCTGTGTTTGACTCTTGCCAGCTACAGTCTGTTCTTCCACACTGGAGTGCACTTTTAAAATGCAGTGCAAGTGGCTGGAGATGGTGGCTCCTGTCTAGTTCTACCACTTTGGTAGGCTGAGGCAGGAAGGATCGCTTGGGCCCAGGAGTTCAAGACCAGCCTGGGCAACATAGTGAGACCCTGTCTCTCTAAAAAAAACAATAATAAATTTTAAAAATGCAATGCAAGCTATGTTAGATGGAAATGTGAAACATCACGGGGCACCTGTATAAGTGTCGTTTACTTCATAGCATGAATAAATGTATCTGTGAGATGCAAAAAAATAAAAAGAAAAAAGAAAATGCAACGCAGACCTGCTTAAAACCTATTGGCTTCCTGCCCACTTAGAATAAAATTCAAAGCCCACCTTACAAAACCCTGAGGATGTAGCCCCTGTTTACTTCCCCATCCTCATCTTTTTCTGCTCCCGATCCCCCACCCTGCCTACCGTGCTCCCCCCAAGTTAGCCTCCTAGCCCCTAACCCAGGCCTTTGAACACGGGCCTTTGAACTTCAGCCAGGCCTGCTCACCTCCTGCCTTCAGGGGCTGGCACCTTCTTAATATTCAGTGTTCAACTTAGGAGCCTGGGACAGATGCCGGGGTTTGGAAGCCGCCACTCCTGCTCCTCTTCTTCCACCTGGCTACCCCATGTACAAACCACATGCATTTCCAGCCATGCCTCAAAGACCGTCACCCTGAAAATCCCTAAATTTGGGGAAGTTTGAAAGACACCCGAGTCTTATTTTAGCCTTGGTGATAGAAGACTAACCAGGACGAACTATCAGCTCCACCAACTCTCTTCCCACGCAGTGTGGCCCCTGCCTCAGCCAGTGACTCAGTCTGGTACTGAGCCTGCATCCCCACTGCCTACACCCTCACCCTCCATCTGTGCTGGGGCACACTGCCCTCCTCTGGCCGGCCGTAAGCTCCCTGGAAGCAAGAACCTTGTCTTCCAGAACTTGGCGGCCTGCAGTTTGCAGCAGGGCTTTGCACATAGCACAAACATACTAAGTCAGGAAGTAGCTGTTGAGCTCCAGGAGAATGCTGAGAACAGGGTGGCCATTAATTTAACCTAGAGAGGAATACTCGGAAGTAGTCACAGTGAATATGACACAGGCACTTCACATCTACACAGGAGAGGCTTGCTCAGGGCCACTCAGCTGCAGTTCCCAAACAGGGTGCCCACAAAAGCAGCTGGAAAGCTTCCAAAACAACCCAGAGGCCCAGGCTCTTCTCCATACCTCCTAAATTAGAATCTCTGGGGTAGGGGTCCATGATCCTATTTTCTCTTTCTTTTTTTTTTTTTTTTTTTTTGATTTGAAGTCTTGCTCTGTCTCTCAGGCTGGAGGGCAGTGGCACCATTTCAGCTCACTGCAACCTCTGCCTGCTAGGTTCAAGTGATTCTCCTGCCTCAGCCTCCTGAGTAGTTGGGATTACAGGCAGGCGCCACCACGCCCGGCTAATTTTTGTATTTTTAGTAGAGATGGGGTATCACCATGTTGGTCAGGCTGGTCTCGAACTCCTGACCTCATGATCCACCCGCCTCGGCCTCCCAAAGTTCTGGGATTACAGGTGTGAGCCACCGCGCCTGGCCTTTTCATGATCCTATTTTCAAAAAGCAGCTCCAGTGAATCTAATGTATTTGGGAGTCACTTGTTCTAGGACAGTGTTTTCCTGAGCTTGCTGGATGATGTAATTCCCCTGGGGTATTTGTTTAATTTATAGATTGCTATGCCTCCTCCTGGACATTCGGATTCACTCAGTCTGGGTTGGGCCCAGGAACCTGATTTTCCTTTTTAAAACCCAGCACTCCAGGTGAGTGTCTATGGGCAATGCCTAACATATGTGGATGCTTCAGACCTTTATTTTCCCAAACCCAGATTTCCACCCACTCTCCTCTGTCTTAGCAATTGGCCTTGTGTCTGACCTAGACAGGGAAGCCAGGGCTGGCCCCATGTCTGTGCCCTTCCTCTTCTGGAACCTTTCCCCTTTGACATCGTTTCGCCCCAACTCCATGGACAGGGGCCTTCCTCCTTGCTGAGCTTAGAGCCTCCTCCACTCCCGCTCTCCATCCCACCTCCCCTCTGTCAGGGCCTTCCTCACTCGGTTACTCTCTCACAATGGTATTTTCACAGACTCCTCCTCCTAATAGGTGTCCTCCCTTTATCCTCTACTATAAGCAGGCCCATACCACCCTGAGTCCTGCAGAACACAACTCCCTTCAACTCAAAAATATTTACAAAGAGAAATGCAAATTCCTCCACTGCTCATCTCCCTCTCACCCTCAACCTCTTGCGTTTGGGTTTATCACCTACCTCCCATCTACATTGAACTGAAATTTCTTTCTTGGGGGTCAACTGGCACGAGGTCAAATCCAAAGGCCTTTCTTGGGGATCATGATCTTTGTCTCTGAAACTGCAACCTTATGTCCAAACCCGCTCTCTGCTAGAAATTCAACCAAGGAAATGCTTTCTTACCTGGACTTAGTACCCTCATTGGGCTACTTGGAAAGGTAGTGAGTTGCAGTTACTAGAGGTGTTTAAGCAGACAGTGAACCCCTTGGAAGGGATGTTATAGATAGAGGTGGCTCAAGCCTGATGGGAGGTTGGACTAGACAATTTGGCAGAAGTCTGTAATGTGGACCCCTGTGTCATGGATGGTGACCTGGATGGACACACCAAGGCAAGGGTCTTAACCCACTGCTCAGGCCCAGACCTCCTGCCTCCTAGGCAGATCAGTTCCTTGAAGGTCATCCTCCATGTCCTGCCTACTTAAGAATCACCTAGCGCTAGGCAGAGTGGCTTACTCCTGTAATCCCAGCACTTTGGGAGGCCGAGGCGGGTGGATCATTAAGAGGTCAGGAGTTCAAGACCAGCCTGGCCAACGTGGTGAAACCCCATCACCATTAAAAATACAAAAATTAGCCAGGCATGGTGGTAGGCACCTGTCATCCCAGTTACTTGGGAGGCTGAGGCAGGAGAATCACTTGAACCTGGGAGACAGAGGTTGCAGTGAGCTGAGATCACACCACTGTGCTCCATCCTGGGTGACAAAGGGAGACCCTATCTCAAAAAAAAAAAAAAAGAGTCACCTAGGAGAGCTACCAAATGCAAATCCCCAGGCCCCAGCCCAGAGGCAGTGATTCCGACGGTTGTGGGATCCCTGGCCTCCACAGCTTTCCACTGACTGGAGGGCTCTGAGCAGCTGGGCACCAAGGTAAACACAGGAGGACCAGGGCCAGCACTGGCTTTCCTCACGCTCATAGCCAGTTGTTGGCTGGGATGGGCTCCACACACTGCAGCCAGCACCTCCTACAGACCTTTCCTTTTATGTTTTAAGGGTATAAGATCAGCAGCCCAGAGAGGGGAAGGGACTTTTCATGGTCACCCAGGTAGGCTCCACCTCCCAGGCTCCCACCCCTTCCTCGTCATCCTCTCTCTCCTCTCTTCCCTCTACTCCTGAGTTCCCATCCTGCTGGCAGAATGTAGGCCTGGGCAAACGTCCTGGGGTAGGGCCAGGAGGAGGCGGCTTCTCCTGGGTCTCTCAGAAGAGAGAGGAGGCTATTCAGCTGCTTACCACGTTGATGAAAACCATGGTGGCCGGCTTCATTCTTGAGGATATGGGAATGGAGAGGAGCCGGCCCAGTGTGATGAAGCCCCAGAAGAGGCTGGGGAGGTAGCCAGCCACCTTGTGTCCCACAGACAGGGGCTTCTCCACAGCATAGCTGTACACGAAGGCGGAATAGGCACCCTGTGGAGAGACCGGGCGCTGTTGAGCACACCTGCAGCCCAGCCAGACAATGACCCTCACAAAGGGAGCCCAGGCTGGGCAGGTGTGGGGAGGGCAGAGGGAGGACTGCCTGTTCCCACTCCCAGAGGCTCAGCCAGGGCTGGGCTTGGAGTCAAGGCCACACTACACACTTGGCTCAAGCTGAGGACAGAAGCTGGGGTGCCTTAGCTTACAGACTGCACTGTGGAGACCTAGGGGTTCCAGAGAGGTGGCTCTGGATCTCCATGGGAGTGCCCGCAGGGCCTGGGCAGACAGGCACTGCTCCCCACTTCAACCAGAGCAGAACATGACTTAAAAAAAAAAAAAAAGGTGTGTGCAAGCATCTGGTTTTACAGATGAGAAAGCAGACAGAAGTGACTTGCCCGAGGTCACACCCAGTGCTGGAAGTCAACCAGTACTGTCACGAGTACTTTCCACCAGGTCATCTAAGTTTTTAGGGCTTTTTCTCTGGAGAGGTCATCATATGGCAATCAGTTGATCAGCCATTCACGACTGCCCTAATATAATCCTAAGAAGTTTCTGGAAAAAGGTGCTAACTAATGTAACAGAGGTCACTAGTGGCATGAACAGCTGGGCCTAAATTCCACCTGAAGCTTGTTTACAACACTGGCTCGAGACACCCAGGTTTGTAATGTATTCCAGGAAGCAAAGTACCCTGTTTATATAGCATGACCTCTAATTGGGGAATAGGGCACCACCCCTTTAAAAAATGCAGGTAGCCTGTCCTTGACAACAGACCAGTTAGGCCCCTACCTATAGCATTAACAAAAATAAAACAAAAATAAAAAACAATTGGCCAAGACAGAAGCCCATAGTACCAACGTGCTGTGACTGATTCTGGAGACAGTCACCCTAGGACTTCAGATTAAATTTTTGAATCAAGTGTACTCCAGGAGAAGTCTCCAGGAAACCTTCATGCTCCTCTCTTTCTCTTGCCTTTCCCAGACTGGAGTCTGGGGGTGAAGGGTCCCCCAGTAGGGGGCGCCCTCTGAGGCAGGCTCACCGTCAACCCATCCGTCATGAACAGTACCAGGGCGCCCGTGATGTGGATGGCAAAGAAGGAATAAGGGGCTCCTCTGAGGTTCTTCCTTTGGCAGCAGCTGAACAGGTCCTCATGCCCTGCAGGAGGCACAGGAAGAACAGGGGTGAGTCTCAGCTTCTGCTCCCTCCCTCTGCATGTCCCAGGGCCGTGGCTGGCAGTCAGAAGAGCCCTGCAGGATGGGGCCCACTTACTGCCTCTACTTTCACGACCTTTCTGTTAGGAATAACCCCTGTCCATCTCCCAGTCTTGGTGGAGCCAAGGCTCAGAGAGGTCAGGTGACTTGCCCAAGGTAACAAAAGGCAAGGCTGAGCAGAATGGAGGGTGAAGTCAGAAGTCTGCCTTCCTCATTCTCTTGGTCAGGTTGCACCATCAGGGCCAAGATTTTCTTTTTTTTTTTTTTTTTTAAAAAAAAAAAGGACTATCACCTGTGGCCAGGCATGGTGGCTTACACCTATAATCCCAGCACTTTGGGAGGCCGAGGCAGATGGATCACCTGAGATCAGGAGTTTGAGACCAGCCTGGCCAACGTGGCGAAACCCCTTCTCTACTTTAAAAATACAAAAATTAGCCAGGTGTAGTGGCATGTGACTGTAATCCCCGCAACTTGGGAGGCTGAGACAGGAGAATCGCTTGAACCTGGGAGGCGGAGGTTGCAATGAGCCGAGATTGCACCACTGCACTCCAGCCTGGGCGACGAGAGTGAAACTCTGTCTCAAAAAAAAAAAAAAAAAAAATCACCTGTGATCTAGGTTCACTCTCTCTGGGAGAGGGGTTACCAAGGAAGCCTCAACATGAGGCTGTGAGGATGCAGATTCATTAGAGCCCCTACCTAGGTGTGACTGAAACTTTGGGGGCAGTGAGGAGGCATCTTCCTTCTCAGGAGGCTGTGTCTCCAAGGCAAGCTCATCAGCAGACAGAAGCAGGGGCCTCCTCTGGGGACAGCAGGTCAGCAGCCGCTCCTTGGACAGCAGCATCAGCACAGCCATGGGCACTGGAAGCTGGGGAGCAGGCAGAGGGTCAGGAGAGCCCTGCCCTGAAGCTCCCCCTTCCCACGCCTGGCCTCTGCACACACTGCATGTGCATAGTCCTGGGAGAAGACAGCTCTTTTCTAAGGGTGCCCAGCTAAAAGCTGAGCCATCCCAACCTAAGAAGCCAGGTGCCTTGACCAAGGTAGGAGTGGGGAGGCCTGCTGTAATTGCTGCCTGATCACCATACTCGCGTCCCTGAAAAGACAGATATTTGTCGCATGCAAAGCTTAGACTCAAACTCTCTGCTGGCCCAGGAGAGGTGCTGGGAGTAAGCTTGCTGGAGTGTCACACCTCACACTCCTTCATGCTGGTGGGTTGCGTGATGCTTTACAAAGCAGCTTTGCTTTTGGGCATCACATCTCTACAAAACATGCTGGGGGATGTTATCACTTAGTCGTAACCTGTTAGAACTGGAAGAGATCTGAGGGGTAAACTAGAGACTGAGAGACTGCCCTGGTCACACAGTGGACTTGGGGCAAAGCCAGAATGGAGCCTGGCATCCTGATCCTTCCAGTGCTGTCTCTACCTAAGGAGATGCCTTGGTGATGTTGATCCTAGCAGGGCACAGAGGCTCTTCTCAGGGGCTTGAAAACAAAAACATGATCTCCTTTTGATTGAGAAATACATGTTTACGAACAGCCTGTACACATAAGCCCTATGTTCAGTTTGCTGCTATTTATGCTAAATCGGAACTCCTTCAGAGCAGTGGGAAATGGCTCCTGCTTCTGAGGTTGCCTGGGGAAGCCTCCACCACCTCCCTCAGGGGCCCCTGCTTGTGTCTCACCACCCTGGTTGCCAGGAAGTACCGCATCAAGTCTAACTATTGTCCTTCTTGCTGCAACTTCAGCCCAGTTCCTTTCACTTAGGAAAGACAGGAAGCCCAGGGAGCTGCAGATGTCTCCCAGAGGCTGGTGAGAGCGCCCAGCTATTGGGCTCTTCCTGGCCCACGGGAGAGGCATAGGATAGAGATGGAAGGCTGGCAGACTGCCAGCCCCTGCCTGGTGGTGTTCTGGGGGAGCCCTTCCCTGCCCCTGGAGGCAGGCTGGCTCTCACCAGTATTTCCTCAAGTCACCTAACAGGAGTGAAAGACAAAAACCACCCCTGTGTTGGCACCTCCCTATGGTGACCTTGGGAGCCTTTCTGCACACTCAAAAAGAAGTCAAGGTCAGACATGGCCCCTGGCAGTCAGGCCTGAGTGGGGAGAGAACAGCCCCTGCTGAGCCCTAATGGGGGAGACACAGCCCTTCCTCCAGTGTGAGGGGGGAAACAGGAAACCCACCCACAGAGGCCTGTAGTGGCAGAGTGCCTGAGTGAAGGCCAAGTGGAAACAGCTGTACAAGAGGCGTGATCGCTCAGGTGGGGCTTTCCAGGGAGGTGGGTGCTGGGAAGGGCTTCACAGAGGATTGGCTGGCATTGCTGGCAGGAACACACCCAATTTTATAAGAATTCCATTCAGGGAAGGCAGCCCCACCTTAAAAGTCAGAGAAGGGCAGGTGGGGTGCACATGTGTGTGTGCGTGTGCACCCACATGAGTACATGCACAGCCCATCTTCCTCCGTGCTGGACTGTTTATTTTCAGACACAAACCAATAGAAAAAGTCCGGAAATCCTGCAGCAAACAAAGTCCCTCCAGCCTGCACTTCATGGGGCAAGAGAGAACAAACCTCGGGCTTAAGCCGGACCTTCCGGCTTCCTGGTCTGGGAGTCTCAGCCTAGAGGTTCTACTGACACTGCTCCTTTCCTTCGCAGGTCTCTCCTGGAAGGAACGGGCCCAAAGCCGCATTCTTTCCAAAACAATGGATGGGCATGGGCTGAAAAGGGAAGGAGCAGACGGAGAGGGTGGGTTTATGAGAGCCCCCAGAGGAGATTCGGGCCAGGGAAAGGAAATCTACAAAGGAAAGGAAGGAAAAGGACTGGTGATGAGGGGGCAGCAGGTAGATGGTCTATGCTGAGGGTCAGGGCTTCCAGCCGGGCTCAGCCTCCTATCAGTCCCTTGTCAGGGCTTTGAGCTGGTGATGGCATGACACCCCCACCCTTGCCCTGCTGCTCACTGGAATGGTGGTCTCAAAGGCTCCTTTCAGTGCTATGTGTGTGGCATATTCTGAGGCTCAGCAGCAGCTGGGCAGCTGCTCTAGTGCCTGAGTCCAGCCCACCTGCCCCAGGAGAGCTGAGAAGTCCACCTACTGCAAAGAGAGGCTCTAAGCCACCATGACAAGCAGCATGGTGCCTCCATCCCACAGCCAAGACAGTGGCCACTGTAATGCTCCCCACCCCCGGCCCAGGAGCCAGGGATGCTCTGGTGTTCCCGACAGTCCTCCCCAACCCAGGTGGATGGGGGTAGGGGGTCTCCCCACCTGACACTCTGGCTCCAGTCTGGGCTAACGTGAGAGATCCCAACTTGGGTTTGCAGAGCACCAGAGGAGGTTTCCAGCTGGAGGCCAGAGTCAGTGCTGACTTGGCAGGGGTGTACAAAGCGGGCCTCGGTATGTGACGCAGTCACGGGGTGAAGTGGTCTCTCGCTGTTCCCACCATAGGCTGCCTTGGCAGGCAGGGCCCTTCAGAGGTCATCTTGTCTGTCTCCTAGCCTCCACAGGAGCCCCTGACAGGAGGGCACAGGAGAATCCCACCATTGATGAAGGGACCCAGAGAAAAACCTTCCACTTCCTGCCGGGGTCTGTCCAGGGTCCACTTCATCTGGCCTTGGAGGAAAAAACTAGTTTCCCACAGAACCTCAGATAATTCGAAAGTTGACCCTGATTTTCACTGTGCTCAGCTCACTGTTTTACCCTCCTTGAGAACTGCAATCACAGGTCGCTGAAGGATGGTGGAGTAGTGCAGGGGATCCCGGGGAGGGTTTGTCCTCCCATCCTCCTGCCTCTGGGATGCACACCTCAGCCCCAGCACGTTTCTCAGCATCTGAAGAATCTTCACTGGGTGTGGGGTGGACTGGGATGTGTGGACTGTCCACTAGCTCCCTACCTGGCCCACCCCAGGGACACTCACATTGATGAGGGCCATGATCCAGAAGGCATAGGACACTCGGGTCCCTGCCCCGTCCTTTGGAGTCAGCCCTGGGAACGTCTGGTTGGACCAAGGCTTGGCATCTACGTGGTGCTGGCCCAGCACCCTGGAGACATGGAACAGGTGGCCTCGGGAGGTGGTGTTGGCCGTGCTATTGGCAGGCAAGCAGTTGGCCTCAGACAGGAAAGGGTCAGCAATAAGGGGGCTCAGCAGAGCACCAAAGCCCACGAAGAAATGGAGCACCTGGGGACAGAGGAGAGGTGGCGGGTGGGGGTGGGGGTCAGTCTTCAGCCCGGGGAAGTGGTGGCCTGGCCTCCGGTCCAGAGGACCCACACTGAGCCCCCTCCCCCAGCCCCACCCTCTGCCCCATGTAGGGGCTGTTGCCCAGCCCTGGAATGGGGAGCCATGGGTGCAGGAAGCAGGAGAGGTGAGGGGAGGTGAGGAGTGACACACCTCTCTCAACCACCCTGCCAGCCTGGGATGACTCGGGTGACAGTGCCCAATTCCCTCCCCATCTCTGTTAATCCTCAGCTGGGACTGATCACCATGTTAGCATCCACCAGCTAACACCCTAAAGGGAAGGGGGCACAAAAAGGGAAGGGCTGGCTGAATCCTGGGCACAAAAAGGGAAGGGCTGGCTGAATCCCGGGGGGAGAAAGACGAAGAAAGGAGAGAGAGGGAAGGAGGGGAAGGAGAGGGGAGGCAAGCCCTGAGTCACACCACCTTTCCAGTTCGCAAAGAGCTTTCTTTCCCAAGCGCTTAGGCTCCTGGGACACCCTGCAGTGAGGGCAGGGATCACTGCTCTGCTTTAGAGATGGGAAAACCGAGTCTAGAACTTACTAACCCAGCTGGTAAGTGGGCCCCTGGGGGAGGAGGCTGGGAGAGACTGAGGGGGCCTAGGGAGCTCCCATGCCCTCCCCAGCTCCCAGCCCTGTGCCTGCTGGCCGGGCTTACCTGGAGGAAGACGGCCGAGTCCTTCTGGTACATCCTTACCAGCTGCATGTTGGCCACGGTGTCGATGCAGCCCATGGCCAAGCCCGCCAGCGCCATGACTGAGGCCAGCACCTTCACGTCGCGGCAGAAGGGGATGACGGCAAACACCAGGGAGATGGCCAGAGAGGAGGTGAACAGGGCCCATAGTGACTGGGCCAGGCTGCAGGAGGGAAGGGTGATGTCAGGGGATGGGGCTGGAAGCATCCCCTCCCCCTTCTCCTCCATTCACTGGGTGGTCTGGGCAGCCAAGACATTTCTCCCCCTCTGGTAGAAAAGGAAGAGAGCTGAGGAAGAAGCTGCTCACTTATTAGCTGTGGGCAAGTTGTCAAAGTCTGCTCAGATAACAATCTACCTCACAAGGTGGCTGCAGGACACTTCACAAAGCCTAGCCACTAGTATTCTACTTACAAACAATTGCACGTTATTTCCTTAAACCCTAAATTGTTTACTTAAAAGCAATTAAATGCAAAAATATTCCCCACCCTTTTCAGGGAACCTGTTTTGAGCATCTCAAGAGGCATGTGTCATAGGCATGCAACCGCAGGTGGGACCCACCTGGATGGAACCTGAGCCCAGAAGTCTCAGAGCTGGGCATTTCTTCTTGCCCAGGAATTGGCGCTGGCTGCCCTGTGTCCTCCCCACACAGGAATGGTGAGGACGCCATTGCTTCACAGGCACCCGGCCTGAGACGCCCACACCAGCGCCCACAACCCAGGTATTCAGGTGATTTGATGACCCCTGTAGCAGGCAGAGGTCGCAGGCTCTGTGCCTGGCAAATGTGCAGAAGTGGGGAAAGGAGGGGCTGTGGCCATACACACTGAAAGGTGACCGTGTTGATCTTCCCCTTTTTCAGATAATAGAAAAGCCCACAGCAGGCAGGGGGAGGGCCTGCTACCCTATCAGTGAATGAATGAATGATTGGATGGAGTGTCTAAGGCTCTGTCAAGGTCTTTTTTGGGACACTCTGCCCAATAACCAGACTCTCAGAGAAAGGATAAAGACTTGTATTTTCTGAGACCAGTCTGAAAGTCTAATGTCAGAGAGGAGAGATTGGGCAGCAGGCAGGTTCTGGAGGTTGTAGAGGAACTTTCTCAGATTATGAAAAGGGAGAGAGCCCCCCACCCCATCAGCCTCCAGTGTGGCTGCTGGACCTGGAAAGGTGGGAGCTGAGAGAGGGGAGGGGGAAAGGCCTCTCTGAGTTTCACACTGAAAAAAAAAGAGGAGGGCCCCAGTGATCACTCAGGCTGTCTTCCCAGAGCTTCTGCCCCTGACCCCCTTGGCTCTTGGCCTTGGCCCTCAGCCATCTCATCTTGCCCCATCTTTGATTAAATCCTCTATCAGAATGGCTCTGCTGATAGAGCAGTTCGTTACTTTCTCCTTTCTTGTTTCCAGGCTGATCTGCTGGGGAGATTACCGATCATGACAGTCATGACCCCAGCATGTTCCCAGCTCAGAACTCATGGGGGAGGAGAGGGGGACCAACCTCAAGGCCAGCTGTTAGGAGATGGAGGGAGAGTGCGTCATGGGGAGGCAATGCTAACACACACCGTGGGCTGATAAAACAGCAGGCTGCTCATCATAGTTCTCTCTCTTTCCCCTCCCTTTCCCTGGACAAGACAGACTAGGCAGCCTCCTAGGTGGCCTGACTTCAGGGATAGCCAGAGAGTCCCCTGTCTGCACTCTCAGAGGTCCCTCTACTGACACGGGTACCAGGACATGACATTTCTACCACCTCACTCACCACTTTGCGTAAGCAGGGATGCCCCAAGGCAAGTGCAAAAACTCTCTCGAAGAACTAGCTCATTATCATTATTGTCTTTCAATCCTGCAGGAAAGTGAAGTCATCCATCCTGCAGCAAAGTCCTGAGGGGAACGGGACCTGGGATCAGTAAACTGACAGGGGCAGGGGCTGCGCAGAGGTATGGGAAAGGAAACCAGGATGATAGCGAGTACTACGGTCTGCTGACAACTGCTAACGTTTGTCACTTGGTTCATATGACAAGGCTATGAAGCAGGCTTTGTCGTTGTGCCCATTTGACCAGTGAGTAAACTCGGGCTGAGAAAAGCTAAGATAGCAGCAGACAGAGCCTGAACTCTAACCAAGGTCTTCTGGCTTGATAGTCCCTATGCTATGCTGCTTTTCCAGGGAGGAGTGTGTGTGCGTGCACATGTGGGTGCATGTGTATGGGTATGTGACTGAGTTACTCGCTAATGGCTCCACTCAGAAGGTGCAAATGCAGGAGGGGAGAGGAAGGAGCCACGGACCCAGCCAGGCTGGAGAGGGGAGTGCCAGCCGAGAATAGGAGGCCAGATTCTGCAGAGCGTTGAATGGCAAGGCTAGGAAGCACTGGAGAGCAGCTGCGGTCTCTAGAACATGCGCCTCTAACACCCCTCTGCGGGGGTTAGCAGAGATCCACATGCTCGCGAGCATCACTGCTGGCTCCACCACCAGCTTCCCCAGGCATCTGCCTCTGCCTGTTCATTGTGGAAGCCATGCCTGGCCCCATGTTCGGCTCTGCAGAGACGCTCAACCCAGGTTCCTGGACGTGGCTAGTGACCGGCGCAGTGCTTGGGGAACGCTTGTCTTGCCAGCCCACATGGGGTGGCCTGGTAGAAGGGACTGGGCACTGCTGGGAGGCCGATGTGGGAGTTTTGCTAGTTTATCTGATAGGGGAGACAGAGATAGAGGCAGAGAAAGAATCATGTAGGGACGGGTTGCCAGGAAGGTGCCCGGTGTACAGTGGGGATTGGGAAAAAGAGAAGGGGTCAGTAAGGGCTGGAAGGGGTCAGGAAGCCCTGTCCAGGTCTCATCTCTGTCCTGTTCACTGCTGTTTGTCTCCTTTCACCTGTCATTCTTGAGAAGGACACTAGGTGCCCACTGGAGGTATGGTTTGTCCCAGGCTCAGCCACAGGCAGGAGGGAGGGATAAAGAGAGAAAAGACGGAAAAGGGAGGTTGGAGAGAACCACGCCTGGGAAATCCCCTCCCTGCATCTCCCTGGACTGTGATTTTAGTTTGATAGGCCTGGAGGTTAGGGCGATGGAGACCTGTTCCCAATAAATGGGGACATCTGTATCACAGGAAATCTTGTCTGTAGATCCCAGGCTGCCCACCCTCCCCAGTTGCTTCCATAGGGCTGTGCCTGGGCATTCCAAACATCAGCCTGAACAAATTTCTTTAGAATGATATGCTGTTGCCAAGGAAAAGGAAGTCCCAGACACATCCCAGAGCCAGACCGAAATACATTTATTGCCTGTTTTAAATGGCTTGGTCAATAGCCCCTTCTAGGAATGTGGATAATTAAAAATTATGGAATAACCATGTCAAAACAGTTTTGGCATCCAGGATGGAGTGCGATCTGGAATCAGAATACTGGGTTCTAGGCCCACCTTGGCCACTTCCCAGAGATGTGGCTTGGGCAAGCCACTTATGCTTAGCCCCTCTGAGCCTCAGTTTCCTCTGCTGTAAAATGGGGATAACAAGCTCTGCATGAGGTTGGGGCTGCCACGAGGAGTCCATGTGATGTGACATTTCATCCTCCTTTGCTCACTCTCTGGGATTTTCCCCTGGCCACTTGCCACCCCTCCCAGGTGCTCACTGCCTCCCTGCTGGCCCTGGCTTCCCCAAAGAGCAATGTTGGGCCCAGAGAACTGCACTGAGCTGACAGGGTACAGAGACCAGTGCCAGCTCCCAGATTCTACCCTCCCAGGCCTGCCCCTATTCCTGCTGCAGTGCCCTTTGGGGTGACCCTGGGAGGCTGGCCCAGGAACTGTTGGAGGGAGATACCCCTGCTCCTACCTCTTGTCCCCCGCCCCACTCACTCTCCACCCTGGGCAGCGTCCCAGCTAAGGTGGCAGCAATGACATGAGTCCTGTCCCTCATTTTACAGATCAGGAAACTGAGGCCCAGATAGGGGAAAAGAGAGGAGTAGAACTGAGCCAGGATCCAAAGTCTTGGCTCCCAACCCAGGCAAAGCCAGCAGAGTGGCAGAGTGGCATTGGTCTTCCCTCCCCTGGTCCTGGGCTCACAGGTTAATTCAGGCCAATTAGAGAAAGAGCCTCACTTTCCCCAAGGCCCAGAGAGACCCAAGATATAGCCTGGACAGTCTGGAAAACCTACTTCAGGAAGTCTCAGAAATGACCAAGTTACTTATTAATGGCTCCACACAGAAGGTCTAAGTGGGAGAGGGAAGAGGAAGGAGCCTGAGTTCTCCCCCAGGTGAGCTGTGGCTCTGCTGGAGCTGCCTGCCCAGCCCCTGTTGCTGGGTGACCTTGAGCTGCTGCTGCCCCCTTCAGCCCCATGCTCTGCCTTACCCACAGGGCATACATGATCACTTTGACCTGGCCTTGCCTTGAGCACCTGTTCTTGCCTTCCTGGTTCTGTGAAAAGAGGAGGGAATAGTTGGCTCTGAAACAGGGGAAGGGCCTGAGCAGTAAGATGCCAGGCAGCCCATTCCTGCCTGCCACCCCAGGGGTGGGGAAGAATGCTGCTGAAGCCCAGCCCCCATGCCACCCTGGGTAGGGCCTGATGGCATCGACATTCTCTTCACATGTTTGTCCCAGGTGATCCCTCTGCCCAGCAGGGATGCTTAGGACATCTTCCTCCCACCTCTCCCCTCCCAGCCTGGAAAATCTCCTTCCTCGAAGGACCAGGGGAGAAGGGCAGGGAGCAGAAATGTGGAAGAGTCACGGATGGAAGTGTCCCTAGCCCCTATCCACCCCAAAAGGGGCAGCAGCCCAGAAGGAGATGGTTTGGGGACCTGGGACAAGAAACCAGTAGACAAGGGACCCCCTGGGAGCTAGGGCAGGCTGGTGACTCTATCTCAGGCCAGGCTGATGGGGAAGGGGCAGCTGAGACTGAGGGCAAGGCCAGGGATAAAAAGGCCCCCCTCTAACTTGGTCACCCCAGCCTTCACACTGACACCTCAGTTGTTAAGGGCCCCATGTTAAAGCTGGAGAGATCCAAAGGGAGGGGCAGACAAACTGGTCTTTGGGGAGATTCCAAGCTACGGCAGGACCACCCTGTTAGACTCTGAGGTTGGGAGCTGCAACTTGTGCATGATGGCATCCCCTGGGGCCCACCATGGTGCTAGGCACACAGGGCGTGCTCCTTAGATGTTGGTTGAGCTTGAACTTGCAGTCTGTTCACTTGGAACACCTCTCCCTCAATTCTTTGCACGCCTGGCTCTCTCCTGTCGCGCAAGAGTCAGCTTTAATATCATCTCCCCAGAAAGGGCTTCCTTGATCACCTAGCTAAGTGGCCCCCAAAATGTGCCACTCTCCATGCTACCCTGCTTGATTTCCTTCATTTCACAATGTAAAATTCTCCACAGTGTGGGCTCCAAGAGTGCAGCGACTTTTACTTTGTCTGTTGTAGTCACCCTTAAAACAGGATCCGGCTCAAGAGGTATTTGTTGAATGAGTGAATTAATGGATGGTATAAGTTTTGAGATTTTTGTTTTGGTTTTTGAGATAGGGTCTTGCTCTGTTGCTCAGGTGGGAGTGCAGTGATGCAATCATGGCTCACGACAGCCTCAACCTCCAGGCTCAAGTGACCCTCCCACTTCTGCCTCCTGAGTAGCTGGGACTATAGGTGTGCACCACCATGCCCAGCTAATTTAAAATTTTTTTTGAGACAAGGTCTCACTGTGTTGCCCAGGCTGGTCTTGAACTCCTGCCCTCAAGTGGTCCTCCCACCTTGGCCTCCCAAAGTGCTGGAATTACAGGTGTGAGCCACCGAACCTGGCTTTGAGGTTTTTTTAACTTAAAAAAAATTGATATATAAATTACATACTATAAAATTCACATATTTAAGCGTACAATTCAATGGTTTTTAGAATATTTGGAGTTGTAAAACCATCACTACAATCTACCTTTAGAGCATTTCTGTCACCCCAAAAAGAAATCTTATATCCAGGCCAGGCGCAGTGGCTCACACCTGTAATCCCAGCACTTTGGGAGGCCAAGGTAGGCGGACTGCTTGAGGTCAGGAGTTCGAGGGCAGCCTGGCCAACACGGTGAAACCTGTCTCCACTAAAAATACAAAAATTAGCTGGGTGTGGCAGCGCATGCCTGTAATCTCAGCTTCTAGGGAGGCCTGAGGCATGAGAATTGCTTGAACCCGGGAGGCAGGGTTTGCAGTGAGATGAGATCGTACCACCTCACTGCAGCTTGGGCAAAAGAACAAGACTATGTCTCAAAAAATAAAAATAAAAAAGAAATCTTATATTCATTAGTAGTCACTCCCCATTCATCTCCACACCTTACCCTTAGCCCTAGGCAACTACTAATTTAGTTTCTGTATCTGCAGATTTCCTTATTCTGAACTTTTACATAAATTAAATGATATGTGATCTCTTGTGTCTGTCTTCTTTCACTTAGCATAATGTTTTCCAGATCATCCATGGTATAGCATGTGTCAGTATCTCATTCCTTTTTATGGCTGAGTGATATTCCGTTGCATGGATATACCACTTTTTTTTTTTCTTTTTTTGAGACAGAGTTTCGCTCTTGTCACCCAAGCTGGAGTGCAATGGCACAATCTCGGCTAACTGCAACCTCCGCCTCCTGGTTCAAGCGATTCTCCTGCCTCAGCCTCCCGAGTAGCTGGGATTACAGGCACGTACCACTGTGCCTAGCTAATTTTTGTTTTTGTTTTTTTTTTAGTAGAGATGGGGTTTCACCATGTTGGCCAGGCTGGTCTTGGACTCCTGACCTCAGGTGATCTACCCGCCTCAGCCTCCCAAAGTGCTGGGATCATAGGAGTGAGCCAATGTGCCCGGCCAATATACCACATTTTTGTTTTGTTTGGTTTTGACACTGGAGTCTCACTGTGCTGCCCAGGTTGTCTTTGAACTCCTGGGCTCAAGCGAGCGTCCCACCTCAGCCTCTCAGGTAGCTGGAACAACAAGGCATCCACCACCACACCTGGCTGGATAAACCACGTTTTTGTTTGTCCATCCATCCGCTGATGGACATTTGGTTTGTTTCTACTTTTTGACTCGGATGAATAATGCTGCTATGAACATCCACGTACAGGTTTAGTGTGTGGACATACATTTTCAATTCTTTGGGGATCATACCTGGGAGTTGGGACCCTATGATAGCCCCATGTTGAGACTGATTTTTAAAACAAGGACAATGTCTGGTACTGGACGCTCAGTAGGCTTTTGGCACAGGTTTGTTGCATGCTGACTGGTAGACAAGGTGCTGGAGGGAGAGGCAGAGGCTTTCTGGATGGGAGACCAACCACAGCCCAGCTCAAGGGGAGAAGCTGGTTTGTCCTGTGTTCCAGGGACTGGAGGGGGCCAGCATATCTAGGGGTGGCCTGGGCAACTGGTGTATGGAAGACAGGGTTTGGTGCAATGGCCAGGAGGGAGTCATAGCTAGGTCTGGGGCAGGGTAGGACTTGCAGATTAGGAGGAATTTGAGGGGGAAAAAAGGAACAAAAAGAGAAAAGTGAATAGGTCAAAGAGAGGAAGAACTCAACAGATCCTCTGACAAACCCTCTGTTAAGAAAGCATGGGCAGGGGAGAGGCCAAGGTGAGGCTGGGAGAAGCCTGGGGAAGCTCTGAAAGTTGTTTACCTATGCTGACGCCTTCGAGATAAAGGGGTCTCCTAATTCCCTAGGGCGGTTAGACAGATCCCCAAGAAACCAGGAAAAATCCTAACCTTTAATCTAAATACCCCTTCCCCTTTCCTGCCTGACAAAGCACACACCTACACACCCTTGCCAACCAGGTGGCTTTTTGTTTTTCTCTGAGAGAGTGAGCAAGCTGGTGCTGCCCTGAGCTCAAGTCTTCCCCTGCACCCACTCCAATAGCCAAGGCTCTCCACCTTCCACACGTAGTCCTCCCAAAGCACATCCCTATGGAGGCATCCACAAGCCCCATTCTGCCTGTGCCCTCAGTCTGGGCCCAGCAGTAGGCAGGACCTGAGTAGGAACCCACGAGAAAGACACTGCCCCCAACTATCCTCTCCCATGTGTCATCCTAAACTTTCCCCCACTCCCCCGCAACAGCTGGCTCTCACAGATTTGTTAAAGCAATCCCCCACTCACAAGTATAAACCAAGTGAGAGCGTTAGCTGGTAATCACTTAAGCTGCAAAGCACTTGCTTGCAGGGGTATTGCATTTTAACTGAGACATGGTCCCACAGAATCCAGCTTTAAAGCTTTGTTGCAGGGCTGGTGGAGCTTCTGGCTGGGGGGATGGGAGACTGTGATGAGAGCTGCCCAGAGTCAGCAAGGTGGTGGGAGACTGTCGCCTACACTCAAGGCCACCCCTGGACATCCCTCTGTTTCCACTGTATATCTGCTTTGCTCTTAACCAAAGGAAAGAGTTCTTCATGGCATTTTGTCTTGGGGGTGGGAGGACTGAGGTTCAGAATTTAAACCTCAACCACTGATAGGATCTACCCCACCCCAAAAAGATCCCAGCAGGAAGCCCCAGAGGGCCACCATTACATTCCCAGAAGTTGTCAGAGCTCAGGAATACCCAGCCCATGAGCATCCTTAGGGCTACTCATCCCAAACCTGTGCCTGATCTGCAGAGTTTACACTGATGACTCACAAAGCAAGAGGGATTGCCTAAGTATCTGTCTTAGAGACAACACCTGGGTTCAAATTCTGTCTAGGCCTCTTCTTAACAACCATGTGATGTGGGCCAAGTTTCTTAACCTCTCTGTGCCTCCACTTCCTTATGCATAAAATGGAGATAACAGTACTACTTCGCAAGGTGGTTGTGAAGATTAAATGGGCTGATACATGTGAAGTACTATGAATAGTGCCTGGCACACAGTAAGTGCAGAATAAAGTTAGTTATCATTGTTACCATGATTTTTTTTCTCTTCTGTGAGCCAGTTCCTGCTGCAGGGTTCTCTCTGCTGCCTGTTCAGAGCCCCCTGTTGGGTAAGCAGTGCTGAGGAAGATACAAAACTACCCAGGAAGAGATGGCCCAGCTGGGTGGGTGTGCATCTCTGCTGGCTTCACAAACCCTGCCCTGCCAACCTGTCATTTCAAATTATCCTCCTTCCCCTCCGTGTTCTTTGCACTACATATTTTCTTTAAAAGTTCCAGGTAAAGGAGCTTTTGTAAGTCAAAGTACTTAAAACCAAAAAACCTGTGCTAGCCACAGATACTTTATCTTAGTTTCTAATTAAACCTCTAGGCAGAATGAATCTTGAGCTTGTCCTTAAGATTTTCTGAATCTTCTGTATATTCCAATCCTGTACCACACCCACAAAACACTGGTGTACACAAGGAGACTTGCTTTTTAAGAAGAGAATAATTTGGTTTACAAGAAGATTTGGGGAAAATGGGGATAATCGCTTCCAAAATTGGTCATGTTTTTAAGGCTTAAAGTGGGGTCCATCTGTACTGACACCTGTGCTCCTTCCACCAGCTCTGGAAGCAAGGTGGATGGAAACACCTGCCCTCACGAACACCTGTAGGCGTTAAGCCAAAGGGCATGACCACAGCCCAGAACGGCCCCTCCAGAGGTTTCTCTGGGATAGCCCAACTGCGGTTTTTTCTCCAGGCCGGCTGCTTGCTCGACTGAGTCCATGGGATCTAGGAAACCACTCAGCCAGGAGCTGGGACTGGGGAAATCAAGCAGCAGCCTCTGGCTTGCAAGTCATCTATTCCCTATTCTATTATGGGTCTCTGTTTTCCATGCTGCACTGGGAGAGTGAATCTGGCTGTCTTTCCACAAGGGAGCCCGGAGGTGGCCCTGTCCAATTTAAGCCGAGAGAATAAGGCTCTGCAATAGTGTCAAAGGGGGATTTCTGGGGGTGGTGCCAGGGAGAGTCCAGAGCCCTGTCGTGGGGCAGAGGCCCAGCAGGAGTAGGATGAGGTGGGTGGGGAGTGGAGGGGAACCTTGGCACCAGGGCTGGAGAGTCACCTTACCAAGCTATGGGTAAAGTGCCCTGCCCCTCCCAACCTGGCCTTAACGGTGAGGTCCTGTGTGTCTCGGGGGCCCATGCAGGAACCATGTTCTGGCTGCCTCAGGAGGAGGGCTACACAGAACCCACTAAACCCCGTGGCTACCCGGGGGAAGGGACAGCCTGTGTTAGCTGATGTGGAGCTGCCTACAGTGGAGCCTGGCCCTGGGAATCAGTCAAGCCGCAGGCCACCTCCAGCACCCTGCACCGCCACAGAGCTGGCCCTCCCACGGTCCTTCCACCTCACTGCCAATCCCGCCCCCGGCAGCCGGGGCTACTGACAAACCCCAGAGGAGCTGTGTAAGAGGGGCACCCTCCCCACCTCTGCAAACTCTATCACTCCTCTCCCCACGGGGCGGTGGGTGGGGGAAGCAGGTGGGAACTGGTTTTATCCTCTCACAGGGATGAGTGATGACAAATAAATAAGCCAGAAGTCACCTTCAGTCTCTGGAGAGAGTTTTCCAGGGAGAGCTGCGGGGGAGGGAGGGAGGGAGGGAGGCAGCTCTTCGGCCAAGATGGAGCTGGGAGGGGTGGTCGCGGCCGGGAGGCGGGGGCGACGGGCAGCCCCACGGGGCCGGGGGAGAGGCCGGGTCGCGGGGCGGGAGGGAAGGGTCGGCCCGGCGAGGGTGGGTGCCGGGGGCCGCGGGGCGGGGGCGCACGGGCGCGGCACTCACGTCCTTTTGAAGACGCCCCCGAGGGCGCTGCCCAGCAGGAGGCAGAGCTGCTGCGAGAAGAAGACCCAGGAGATCTGGGGCAGCGAGCTGTGCGTCTGACAGCGCAGGTCCAGCAGCGTGGGCCCCAGGAAGGCGATGCACAGGCCGAAGCTGAAGAAGACGCTCCAGTAGGTGAGCGTGGGCTGCAGGTTGCGGCGGAGCAGCCCCGACACGCGGCCGTCGCAGCCCATGGCGCAGGCTGACGGGCTCGCGGATCTGGTCCCGGCGAGCCCGGTGCCCGAGTGCCGCCCGCGGGAGGGCCGGCCGGGCTGGGGAGGCCCGCGGCGGGGAGGGAGGGGCGGGGAGGGGCCGCCCCAGCGAGGGGCCCCGCCCTTGGGCCCGGGCGGCGGCGGGGGCGCCTCTGCGGCGGGTGGGCAGTGCGTCCGCTCCCGCGCCTTCCCCGTGCGGTGCCAGGCGCCGGCCTCCCCCTCCTACCCGAGCGCACATGCTCGCCCTCCCCCGGCTGCGGAGACCAACCGGGAGCCGCGCTGCCCCCCGCCCGCTCTCCCTCGACCAGTCCCCCCAGCCTCCGGATGCAGCCCCCAGGGACCGAGCGCCCATTTTAGAGCCCGGCAGATGGAGAGCCCGAGACATCCTGTATCTCCGGATAAGGCTAGGGGCCCTCTCCCCGCACCCGGGCTGTGGCAGTGGAGGAAACCCGGACCCCTTTAAACCTAGGCGCTTCACAGATGGACTTCGAGGGTCTAACGGCACCCCCCTTTCCCCCAGAACAGAAGGCAAAATCTTGTTGTACATATGTTTCTCCTTGGGAGAGTATTCGTGCATGGCTTTCATTAGAACCCCAAGAGGTTAATCACATTGCCCTTTAGAAGGAGAACCCTAGAAACTCAACATCTTCCTCACACTAAGCTCCCTGGAAGGGCCTGAGATGAGGCCCTCCTCCCCACCTGGCCAGGTGCGGGAAGGAGGAGGATGACGCTGGTCTATGCTGACTCTCTCTCTCTCCTTCTAACTAGTTGGAGGAGGGCAGAGAGGGAAGGGCCGCGTCCTGGAGGAACCCCGGGAGGAATTCTGAAATAATCTCCTAGAAAAAAAAATTTAAAAAGAGTTCTGGGGAAAATTCTTTCTTCCATGGATAAATCCCTGGCAGTGAGTAGGGGTTGATTATTCTCTAGACTGGGTGTCCTTCGAGGAGCCTGCAGCTGACCTAGGCTGTCCCTTCATTAGGTGGCCTCGGGCTGGCTGGTGGGTTCTGTGTGTTCCCGCTCCTAAGGGAGCCAGGATCTGGCCCCTGGAGGCAGAACAGTAAGGCCCTGCGGTGTCCCCTCTGCCCAGGTCTTCTGGTAATGACAGGAGCCATGACATCATTTCCACTGGCCCACCAGGGGGACCAGGGCTGAAAAGACTGAGGAGGTATGTGGGCGGGTGTCCCCAAGACAACTTGGCATGAGGTGGGGCAACCAATTTCTCTTGCAGGTACTGGTCCCATCTCATAGCCGCACCCCTGCATCTGCCCTATCCCTTCTTGGACAGTGAGCCCCAGAGAAGGGGGAGCCCCAGGGTCCCTCTGGCTCATCACTCTGTGGGTAATGACAAGTACTTATTCGATAGTGATGATGGGGGGCCTGCACAGTAATTGTAATAAACTGAAAAGCTACCCTCTGGGGGAAAAAAAAAGAAAAAACACCAAACAAATCATAACCACAAGTTTTTGACTGAGTCTTCTCTGCCACTATCACAGAACTCCAGGAACCATAGAAGCTCAGAATTGGAAGGAATAGCCTCCAATTGAGTCCCCTATCCCCTCCCCATAACTGCCTTTGAATGCTTGCCAGTCCTGTTCTTGACTGACACCTCTAGTGCTGGGGACCTTGCATATTCCTAGGGGCTCTGCTTGCAGTGTGGATGAGCTCTGGTTGTAGAAATGGTCTTAGGCAAAATTGAAATGCTTCGCCCTGTAACTGCTCCCCACGGCCCCACACAGAACAAATCTAATTGCTCTGTCATGTAAGTCCTTCACACCCAAAATGACCTTGCCCTAATGATTTTGCTTCTCTAGCCCAAACACCTGAAATCCTTCCATAATTTCCCTAAATGGCGTTCCCCAACTACAGCACCTTGCTGGCTCAGCTCCTCTAGCCACAGTAACAAATGACCCTGCCACAATGAGGTAGCCCCCAGTGCCTGGGATGCTGGAAGCATTCTGAAGCTTGATCTAGGTGGTAGTTACACAGGTGTAAATATATGTAAAAACTTATTGGTCTGTAGATTTAAGATTTGTGCATTTTTGTGTGTAAGTTATACTTGATTAAAATGGTAAAAAGTAAAAATAAAAAGTAAGTAAAAATAAAGGGAGGCATTCCACCGTGAATACAGTACTCAGCCTCTTCATAGTCAAAGACCTATTGGGTTCTGGTACTGTACAAGGTCCTCTGGTTGAGATAAGCAGATATGGAAACAAGTTACAGTTGTCTCTCCATATCCCATATCCCGTGGGGGGATTGGTTCCAGGAGTGCCTGCAGATACCAATATCTGATAAGAACAGATACTACACTTGGTCTTGCCAAAAGGCTGAGAAACGATAGATACCAATATCTGAAGGTGCTCAAGTCCCTGATATAAAATGGCATAGTATTTGCATATAACCTACATCCATAGGCCTGTATACTTTAAATCATCTCTGGATTACTTATAATACCTAATACACTGTAAATGCTATGTAAATAGTTGTTATACTGTATTGTTTAGGGAATAACGACAAGAAAAAAGTCTGTACATGTTCAGTACAGATGAATTTTTTTCCCAAATATTTTCGATTTGCAGTTGGTTGAATTTACAAATGCAGAACCCACAGAGACAGGGGGCCAACTGTGCAGCAGTGAGGTACCTTCTGTAATGGGGTGGTTTGAGGGCCTGGAGAGCTAAGTGTCTAATTCTGCCTGGGAAGGCTTCATGGAAGAGGTGACTTTTGAGTGGGGTCTGAAAGCCAAGTCTATATGTGAAAACGTTTTGCTTATTTTTGCTTTCTTCATCCCTTTCTCTGTCCCTTCTGTTTTCCAGCATCACACACTGTCCACCTCCTCTAGGCATCTTTCCCAGATGAATTAATTCTATTAAATTCTTATTTCCAGCAAGACTCTCATCCACTCCTGTACTGCTACCCTATCTTCACAAGGCCAGGTATTACATTCCACGGACTGTTCCTCCAGCCCCTTACGGGAGCCAGTTAAATCATGAGTTCCTAAGGGCTGGGAGTATATTTACCTGTGTTCTAACTCCACCCCTTCTCATGTGCCTCACATAAAAGAATGCCTTGCAGATAGCAAGTCCTGGACAAATAGCTGGTGAGGTGAATTGTTTGCACAAAAATTATACAATTACTTTTGGCTTTACATTTACATGTCTTATCTCCCACTTACAAGTTCCCCAAGGGCAGACGCTATCCAGTCTTTCCTTTGTGCTGTGTATTCACATGTCTGTTCTTAGTTGGGCACCTTGTGGTTATTCTTAAATTTGAAGGGCAAAACCTTGGATCCTTCTTTAACTACTCTCTGATTTCCCCCCTTATAAATTAGAAGGGAATTATCCCCCACCGTCACAAGCCAAGGAAAGTGATCTGAGACTCCCAAATATGGAAAGGTTACATTAATTGGAATAAAGGATCTGTGGGAGTAAAGGGTTCTCAAGCTCTTGGAGCCTGAAATCTATTAATTGCCTCAAGGGTTGGCTCTCCAGAAGCCTTTTTCTGACCTTCCTAGGCTCCCTCCTTGGGGCTCCCAAACTATCCTAGTGCTGATTCTGTTTAGTGCCGCCCTTCCAAGGCAAGGACCACAGGATTGGTTCATCACTGGGTGCCTGGATTTCTGACTCCTTGGTGAGAGGTGTTTATACTACACTGAACTCTTGTGTTTTTTTTTTTTTTTTGAGACGGAGTCTTGCTCTCTTGCCCAGGCTGGAGTGCAGTGGCATCATCTTGGCTCACTGCAAGCTCCGCCTCCCGGGTTCACGTCATTCTCTTGCCTCAGCCTGCCGAGTAGCTGGGACTACAGGCACCCACCACCACGCTCGGCTAATTTTTTTTGTAGTTTTAGTAGAGACGGGGTTTCACTATGTTAGCCAGGATGGTCTCGATCTCCTGACCTCATGATCTGCCCACCTCGACCTCCCAAAGTGCTGGGATTACAGGCGTGAGCCACCACACCCGGCCTTTTATTTATTCATTTATTATTATTATTATTATTATTATTATTATTATTATTATTATTTGAGATGGAATGTAGCTCTGTCACCCAGGCTGGAGTGCAATGGCGCAATCTCAGCTCACTGCAACCTCTGCCTCCCAGTTTAAAGTGATTCTCTTGCCTCAGCCTTCCAAGTAGCTGGGATTACAGGTGCACGCCACCACACCTGGCTAATTTTTGTATTTTTAGTACAGACAGGGTTTCACCATGTTGGCCCATGGTGATCTGCCCATCTCAGCCTCCTACAGTGCTGGGATTACAGGCGTGAGCCACTGCACTCAGCTGAACTCCTATGCTTTATACCTGGAAGTTGAGAAGCAATAAATCACCTGCAGATCTTGGACCATCTGTAGGTAATCTATGTCATGGAAACACACAGAAGAAAGTAAACGAACAATGAAATAAGAGTTAGATACCCTTACCACTATCCTTTTACATGCATTACAGCTGCAGAAATTCCTTAGTGTATAAACCCATGTTGTGTATTTTGTTTTTGTTACTGTTTCTGTTAGAACTGAAAACCTTAAATATTTAAATGAGATATAAAGAGAAGAGGCCTGATTCTCACCAGCCTAGTGGGGAGTCACTGGGACTTGGGCTTGATTTCATGCTTAGCAGGATCCTCTTAGTGACCTGGGGCTGCCCTCTGTCCCCAGGGCCTTCTGGTCTCTGCTTCCAGATTCTGCAGAGGCCAGGCAGGAGCAGTAGAGTGAAGTCTCCAGCTCAAGGTCATTAAGCACATCCTGCAGTTAGTCTGGCCATTCTGGGTCATGAAGCCACCCCTCCCCTATCTCCAGATTTTGTCTTGTCACTCCCTGTGTGGTTGTTTTGCTGGCCAGAGTGTGGCGGTGGATTGGAAGGCTCTGTCTGAGGTTGGCATGGGGCGGATGGCAGATAGTTTGGTGCCAAGGACTATACCTGGATGGCCCAGCCATCCTAAGGCACATGAATGCAAATACAGCAGAGGCGGGTGTGTGTACAAAGAGCCTCCTTTACCAAATATCCGGTTGAGCTACTTAGTGCTAGCCTGCCTGGAGGGTAAGGGGAGTGGTCACACAAGTGCCAAGAAAGGGAGGGACAGGAGGAGGTGAGATGACCCGGAAACATCTTAGAGTTAGACCAGTTGCCATAAACACCCTGGAGAGGTGTTGCCTAGCATCTGGCATTTAGTTGGTGCTTATTAGGTGCTAGTGCTTAAAAGTGCTAGTTGAAACTAGTTTAACGGACAGTTGGAAGGACTCTCTGAAATTAGTGCAACCAGCCAGGCATGGTGGCTCACGCCCGTAATCCCAGCACTTTGGGAGGCTGAGGAGGGCAGATCACCTGAGGTCAGGAGTTCGAGACCAGCCTGACCAACATGGAGAAACCCCGTCTCTACTGAAAATACAAAATTAGCTAGGCGTGGTGGCGTGCGCCTGTAATCCCAGCTACTCGGGAGTCTGAGGCAGGAGAATCACTTGAACCCAGGAGGCAGAGGTTGCAGGGAGCCGAGATTGTGCCATTGCAATCCAGCCTGGGCAACAAGAGTAAAACTCCGTCTCAAAAAAAAAAAAAAAAAAAGAAAGAAAGAAAGAAGAAAGGAAGGAAGGAAGGAAGGAAAGAAAGGAAAGAAAGAAAGAAAGAAAGAAAGAAAGAAAGAAAGAAAGAAAGAAAGAAAGAAAAGAAAGACAGAAAGAAAGAAATTAGTGCAACCTCCCACTCAGAAATGGGATTCCACTTACAGCATCCAGCATCCCTGCAGGTAGCCACCTGGCCTCAGCTTGAGCACGCCTAGGCTCAGGAATCAGTGGATCTAGCCCAGGCTGTGAAATCAGTGAGAAACTGACCCTCGGTTTCCTCGTTTTTTAAATGGGGTGAATAAGAACTCCCTTACTGTGAGAAAATGTAGACAGTATGTAACAGGAGCTGGTACACCAGGTTCCCAATAAATTCTCATGGTTATTATTATTAACAACAACACAAACTGCCATCCTCATTTTGTGCACTAGAACAGTGGCTGGCAAAGCGTGTCCCTGGACCACCAGCAGCAGCATGTCTGAGGAACTTGTTAGAAATTCAGACTCTTGGTCTTACCCAAGACTAGCTGAATTAGAAACTCTAGGGGTGAGGCTCAGTAACCTGTTTTGTTTTTGTTTTTGTTTGAGACAGAGTCTAGCTCTATTGCCTAGGCTGGAGTGCAGTGGTGTGATCTTGGCTCACTGCAGCCTCCGCCTCCCGGGTTCAAGCGATTCTCCTTCCTCAGCCTCCTGCATAGCTGGCATTACAGGTGCACGCCACCACGCCTGGCTAACTTTTCTGTTTTTAGTAGAGATGGGTTTTCGCCATGTTGGCCAGGCTGGTCTCGAACTCCTGACTTCAAGTGATCCACCCGCCTTGGCCTCCCAAAGTGCTGGGATTACAGGCGTGAGCCACCGTGCGCAGCAATAATCTGTGTTTTAACAAGCCCTCCAGGGGATTGAGATGCAGCTACAGTTTGAGAATCACTACTTTAGAGCCACAAAGCAAAAGTCTAATTCCCATTCTACAGAGAGCCATTCACTATTGGAATACACTCTATGTTCTTTCGAAGTCTTATTCCTGACATCATTGTCTCTGCTTCCTTCAGCCATCTCTCATTTACCAAGTACTCCCTTGCTATTCTTATCACACCGTCATGCCATGCTGTCATGGTCAGCGACCCTCTCAAAAAGGGTGGCTCCCAGCACTGCACCGAGGGCTCCTGGTGGTCTGAGCAGTGCGCAGTGCAATGGGCTTGCTGCCTCCTCTTCTCTAGAAATTCTGACAACTATTTATTCAGTGCCCACTCCATGCCAAGCACATAACATATAGTATTTTTTAGTTTACTGTTTTGATTGAGGTTAAACTTACATATATTAAAGTGCACAAGTCTTAAATAGCTTGATGATTTTTATACGTGTACACATCTATGTGACCACCATCCACATCAAGATATAGAACATTTCCAGCACCCATGCCAGAAACAGTAGTGTACTTGCTCCACATTATGTATGTGAGAGCAGCAGTTCATTATTTTCATTGCTATGTAGTATTCCATTACATGGATATACCACAATATATTTTTCTCATCTACTATTGATGGACATTCAGATTGTTTTCAGTTTGCAGCTACAATAAAGCTACTCTAAACATTTGTATGCTTATTTTTTGGTGGACAGAAGCTCCCATTCTATTCAGTTTATGTCCAGAAGTGAAATTGCTATGTCACAGATAGGTTTGGTTTTAGCAGATGCTGCAAGACAGTTTTTCAAAGTTGTTGGTCCAGTGTACACTCCTACTAGAGTTTTAGTTCCTCATCCTTGTCAACACTTGGCATTGTCAGTCCTCCCCTCCCCTCCCCTCCCCTGTAGGGGTACTAGTATCTCAAAGGTTTTCATTTGCATTTCCCTCATGACAAATAAGGTTCAGTATCTCATCATATGCTTATTGGCAATTTGCACATCCTCTTTTTTGAAATACCCCTTTGAGTCTTCAGCTTACTTTTAAAATTGGGTTGTCTATCTCTGAAATTTATTTAGGAGTTCTTGATATATGCTGGATATGAGTTCTTTGTCAGTTACATGTATTGTAAATACCTTTTTCTTGTCTGCACATACATTATTTTTTCCTTTTATCTTTGGTTGACACAGAATAATTGTACATACTTATGGGCACAGAGTTTTTTTTTTATCTGCACAGTCTGAGGACAGGGAGTGATGTTGTGATACAGGTATAATGTATGTAATGTATGTAATGATCAAATCAGGGCAATTAGCATATCTATCACCTCAAATATTTATCATTTTTTTTGTGTTGTGAACATTCAAAATCCTCTCTTCTAACTATTCAAAGATATACACTAAGTTATTGTAAGCCATGTTCACCCTGCAGTGCTATAGAACACTAGAACCTATTCCTCCCATCGAGCTGTAACTTTGTATCTATTAAGCATCCTCACCCTATCCTCCTCGTCCCCCCACCCTTATAAATCTCTAATAACCACAATCCTATCTCTACTTCTATGAGCTCAGTTTTTTCAAGCTTCCACATATGAATGTAATCATGCTACATTAATATTTGTGTGCCTGAACTTATTTCACTTAACAGAATGCCTTCCAGGTTCATCATGTTTCTGTGAACGGCAGAATTTCATTATTTTTCATGTCTGAATAGTATTCCATTGTGTATATAAACCACATTTTCTTTATCCATTCATCTGTTGATGTCTATTTAGGTTGAATCCATATTTTGGCTATTGTGAATAGAGCGTCAATAAACATGAGGATTCAGATAGCTCTTTGATGTACTGATTTTCTTTTCTTTGTATAAATACTCAGTAGTGAGACTGCTGGATTGTATGGTAGCTAGATCTATTTTTAGTTTTTTAAGGAACCTTCATACTGTTTTCTATAATAGTTTTACTAATTTGCATTCTCACCCATAGTGTATAAGAGTTCCCTTTTTTCTGCATCCTTACCAGCATTTTTTTTATCATTTTAATGACAGCCATTCTAGTTGGGGTGAGATTATATCTTATTGCAGTTTTGATTTACATTTCCTTGATGATTAGTGATGCTGAGCATTTTTCTCTATGTTTGTTTGGCCATTTGTATGTATCCTTCTGAGAAATGTCTATTTTTTTTTATCCTTTGCCCACTTTTTAATTTTTTTTTTTTTTTTTTTTTTGCTGTCCAGTTGTTTGAGTTTCTTATGTATTCTGGATATTAGTCCCTTGTTGGTGAATACTTTGCAAATGTTTCCCCCCTTTTTACAGGTTGTCTCTTCACTCTATTGATTGTTTCTTTCACTGTGCAGAAGCTTTTTCATTTTATATAGTCCAATTTGTCTATTTTTGTCTTTGTTCCCTGTGCTTTTGAAATATTATGGATAAAATCATTGCCTGGACCAATGTCCTGAAGCATTTCCCCTATGTTTCCTTCTAGTAGTTTTGGGTCTTATGTTTGAGTCTGTAATCCATTGAGTTGACTTTTACACATGGTGCAAGATGAGGGTCTAATTTCATTATTCTGCATATGAATATCTAATTTTCCCAGCACCATTTATTTAAGAGACTATCCTTTCCCAGGGTATGTTTTTGGCAACTTTGTTGAAAATCAGTTGGCTGAAAATACATGAATTTATTTCTGGGTTTTCTATTCTGTTCCATTGGTCTATGTGTCTATTTTTATACCAATACCATGCTGTTTTGGTTACTATAGCTCTGTAGCATATTTTGAAGACAGCGTGATGCCTCCAGCTTTCTTTTTTTTTTTTTTTTTTTTTGCTCAGGATTGCTTTGGCTATTCAGGGTCTTTTGTGGTTCCACATGAATTTTAGGATTGTTTTTCTATTTCAGTTAAGAATGTCATTGGTATTTTGAAACAGATTGTATTGGGTTTGTAGATTGCTTTGGGTAGTATGTTCATTTTACAATATTAATTCTTCTAATCCATGAGCATAAGATGTCTTCATTTTTTTGTCTCTCTAATTTCTTCCAGTAGTGTTTTATAGTTTTCATTGTAGAGATCTTTCACCTCCTTGGTTAAATTTATTTCTAGGTATTTTATTTTATTGTAGCTACTATAAGTGAGATTGCTTTCTTGATTTCTTTTTCAGCTAGTTCATTATTGGCATATAGAAATGCTACTCATTTTCTCATTTTTGTATGTCGATTTTGTATCTGCAACTTTACTCAATTTGTCTATCAGTTCCAAGAGGTTTGTGTGTGTGTGTGTGTGTGTGTGTGTGTGTGTGTGATCTTTTAGATTTTTCTATATGTAAAATCCTGTTGTCTGCAAAGGGACAATTTGACTCCTGTTTTTCAATTTGGATACCCTTTGTTCCTTTCTCTTGCCTAAATGCTCTGGCTAGGACTTCCAGTACTAGTTGAATAAGAGTGATGAGGGTAGGCATCTTTATTTTGTTCTAGTTCTTAGAGGAAATGGTGTCAGCTTTTCTTCATTGAGTATGATGTGAGCTGTGGGTTTGTCATATATGGCCTTTATTGTATTGAGGTATGTTTCTTCTAAACCTAATTTGTTGAGAGTTTTTATCATGAAAATATGTAGTTTTATTAAATCCTGTTTCTGCACCTATTGAGATGATCATACGGTTTTTGTCCTTTATTCTGTTGAAGTGACGTATCATGTTTATTGAATTGCAAATGTTGAACCATTCTTGCATTCCTGGAATAAATCTCACATGAACATGGTGTATTATTACCTTTATGATGTGTTGTTGGATTCTGTTTGCTAATATTTTGTTGAGGATTTTTACATCTATGTTCATCAGAAATATTGGCCTGTAGTTGTCTTTTTCTGTTTTGTCCTTGTCTGGTTTTTGATATCAGGTATCAAATGCTGTCCTCATAGAATGAGTTTGGAAGAATTTCTTCCTCTTTAATTATTTTGGAATAATTTGAGAAGAATTGGTGTTAGACTCCCCTCCCCTCCTCTCCCCTCCCCTCTTCCCCTCTCTCATCTCCTCTCCTCTCCTCTCCTCTTTTGACAGGGTCTGGCTCTGTAACCCAGGCTTGAATGCAGTGGCATGATGGGTGCAATCTTGTTACCTGTTACTGGTCTCTTCAGGTTTTCTTTTTGGCTCAATCTTGGTAAGTTATATATATTCAGGAACTTATCTATTTCCTCTAGGTTTTCCAATTTGTTGGCATATAGATGTTCATAATAGTTTCTAATGATTCTTTATATTTCTGTGGTGTCAATTATGTCTCCCTTTTCATTTCTGATTTTTTTTTTTAAGAGATGGAGGCTCGTTTTGTTGCCCAGGCTGGAGTGCAGTGGCTATTCACAGGCACAATCATCATACACTGTAGCCTAGAACTCCTGGCCTCAAGCGATTTTCCTGTCTCAGCCTACAAAGTTGCTGGAACTCTAGGTATGTGCCACCGTGCCTAGCTTCTGATTTTATTTATTTGGGTGTTCTCTTTTTCTTAGTCTAGCTGATGATTTGTCAATTTTGTTTATCTTTAGAAAAAACAAGTTTTCATTTTTTTCATCTTTTGGTACTATTTTTAGTCTCTATTTTGTTTAGTTCTGCCCTGATCTTTATTCTTTCTTTGCTTCTACTAATTTTGGGTTCAATTTGTTTTTGCTTTTCTGGTTCCATGAGGAGCATCATGGAGTTGTTTATTTGAAATCTTTCTACTTTTTAGATATAAGTATTTATCGCTATAAACATCTCTCCTAGTATTGCTTTTACTGTATCCTGTGGGTATTGGTATGTTGTGTTTCCATTTTCATGTTTCAAGACATTTTTTTATTTCCTTTTTAATTTCTTCATTGACCCAGTGGTTGTTCAGGTATGTATTATTTAATTTCCATGTATTTGTATAGTTTCCAGGGGTCCTTTTGTTATTAATTTCTAGTTTTACTCCATTGTAGTTTGAGAAAATACTAGGTAAGGTTTCTATTTTTTTTTTTTTTTTTTTTTCCATAGAGATGGGGTCTCACTCTGTGTTGCCCAGGCTGGTCTCGAGCTCCTGGGCTTAGGCAATCCTCCTGCCCCCCGAAGTGTTGAGATTACAGACATGAGCCACCATAGCCGACCTAATTTTTTTTTTTTTTTTTTTAGATGGAGTCTCTCTCTGTTGCCCAGGCTAGAGTGCAGTGGAACGATCTTGGCTCACTGCAACCTCTGCCTCCCGGGTTCAAGCAATTCTCCTGCCTCAGCCTCCTGAATAGCTGGGATTACATACGTGCACCATCACGTCCAGCTAATTTTTGTATTTTTAGTACAGATGGGGTTTCACCATGTTGGCCAGGCTGGTCTGAACTCCAGACCTCAAGTGATCCACATGCCTTGGCCTCCCAAAGTGCTGGAATTACAGGTGTGAACCACCATGCCCAACCTAGCCAGCCTGATTTTTTAATATTTGTTGGGATTTATTTTGTGGCCTAACATATGCTCTATCTTGGAAAATGTTCCATGCATATACATTAACTTTAATCTTCACAATGGTCCTGTGAGGTAGATATTATTATCCCTATTTTATGGATAAGAAAACTGAGGCTCAGGAAGGCAGAGTAACTTGCCTAAAGTCACACAGCATAAGTAGCAAAGCTGAGTTTTGAGCCTGCGTTGCCTGACTCCAAAGTCTGGATCCTTCCCATGAGAATGTCTGCCTCTCACATTCAACTCCAATACACACATCTAAGACTAGTGCATAAGCTGATAGCTGTTAACATTTTCCCCCACAGAAAATGCAGCTGAACCAAGCCTGCCTATCTTGTCTATGAGCAGCTGATTCTTTGAATCTAAAGAATTGATACAGGACTTGATACATGTGGAATAACAGAAAGAACCTGGACCGTGGAGTGAGACAGGCTTAGACTTGAGTTCTGGCTACACACTTGGCTGTGCCAACTCAAGGCGGCTACCTTGACATTATAAGGCTGATTTTCTTCAACTGTAAAATGTCGATGTAGGATTACATGATAACACATGCAAAGCCTCTGGTAGAACACTCAGGGCAGCACTGCTCATGCTTCTTAGTTGCCTTCCCCTGATCTGGAGTGTCAATTAATCTTGGTTTGAGTTCCTCTTGCCCACCAGTGCACTTTGGTCCCCCATTCAGTCATGTAGCAAGGGGCTATTCCTCCAGCTGTTCTTGAGTAAGCATGGCACCTCACATTCATATAGAATGGTTACTAATAGTCATCCAAGTTATTGAGAAAAATATTGACCACAATGTACCACTCTCCCACTCCACTTTTTCCTAATTAATCTTTCCTTTGGGACTCAGCTAAGTTGTTCATTCTGCTGGGAGTGCTCCACCCACCCAGAGCTGCCCCGAGTGCCTGCCTTGTGTTCTCTGCATCCCCTCACCACCTTCCTTTGTGACAAGCAGCTGAGGTGTCTGTAACCCGAATCAATACTGGATCAGCTCCTTGAAGATAGAGATTGGGTCACACAATTATCCTTATATCTTAGAGCACAGCACCTGCCTGGTACATAGCTGGCATTCAGAAAATATTAGCTACGCAAAAATGTGTTTAAGTATTATAACCTTGAGTTGATGAAACTCTGAGGCAAGAAATAGTATTTATAGAGGATTTCATGAAAAATGTACAATTTATCGATCTCATCAGTTCTCAGATTTGGCTATATATTAAAATCCCCTGGAAACATAGAAAAAATCAGAATCTCTGGTTGGTGGAGTCCTGTGTTGGTATTTTGCAAAAGTTCCCAGGACTTCCTAATGTGCAGCTAGGGTTGGAAACCACTGCTCCAGAAAATCCACATTTTACCACTGAAGAACTGCCTGCATATCCTGTACCATTTAGGCCCTGCACTAAAGTGCCTTTATTGAATTATACTTGGGCTTTGTGTCCAATTTGACTGAACCTGGGATATAACTGTGCGACTCTTGTCACCGGAGATATGGGGAGATGTTGTTGTCAATGGATCCTCTTTATGAAGACACACCAGAGAGATGCCTATTGGGCATCAGCACCAAAAAAAGGCCATGATCCTCCTGAGCAACCAGTTCATGTTTGTCTTACGGATTCCAGGAATCATTTAATTAACACTATTTTCCAGGTTTGTAGTAGCTGCTGCAAAGCTCAAGATCAAAGCCATGGTGCATCTTTATCACCTACAAAGAATTTTGTGGTGTGTGTGTTACATATTGACTTGGTTCTGCATTATTTTTTGTCTTTTTCTCTTCACCCTCTGATATGGTTTAGGTCTGTGTCCCTACCCAAATCTCATGTCAAATTATAATTCTCAATGTTGGAGGAGGGGCCTGGTGGGAGGTGATTGGATCATGGGGGCAGACATCCCCCTTGCTGTTCTCTCAATAATGAGTTTTTATGAGATCTGGTCGTTTGAAAGTGTGTAGCACCTCCTCCTTTGCTCTCTTTTTCCTGCTGGCCATGTGAAGATGTGCCTGCTTCCCCTTCGCCTTCCGCCATGATTGTAAGTTTTCTGAGGCCTCTCCAGAAGCAGAAGCCTGTATAGCCCACAGAACTATGAGTCAATTAAACCTCTTTTCTTTATAAATTACCCAGTCTCAAGTATGTCTTTATATCAGTGTGAGAATGTATGAATACACCCTCCTTTCCTTAACTTTTTCTATAATAAAGCTTTTTAATTGAGATAATTCACATATCATAATATTCGCCCTTTTAAAGTGTACAATCCAGTGGTTTTTAGTGTATTTACAAGATTGTGTGACCATCACTACTAATTCCAGACCATTTCCATCACCCCAAAAATAAACTCCACACCCATTAGCAGTCACTTCTCACTCTCTCTTCCCCTCGACTTACTTTCTGTCTTTATGGATTTGCCTGTTCTAGATATTTCATATCTAGATATTTCATATAAATGGAATCATACAATATGTGGCTTTCTGTGTCTGGTTTCCTGTACTTAGCATAATGTTTTCAAGGTTCATCCATGGTATCAGTAGTTTATTCCTTTTTTATGGCTGAATAGTATTCTATTGTATGGACATACCACATTTTGTTTATACATTCATCAGCTGTTGGACATTTGGGTTTCTACTTTTTGGCTATTATGAATTATGCTGCTGAGAATATTCATGCACAAGTTTTTATGTGAATATGTTTTAGTTCTCTTGGGTACATATTAGAAGGGTGGTTTGCTGTGTCAGATAGTAACTCTGTGTTTAACTTTTTGAGACCCTTTCCTCATTTAAAGAAATGTTTTTGTCTTATAGTATAGTATGTATCTCTGTAAGCCACTACAGATTCCTCTTTTTGGAATGAGGTGGCATATAAATAAATAAATAAAAAGTCACAAAGCACTCCCAAGCCATCTGTTTAATAATCTGTGCCAGAATGTTGCCAGGATTCTATATTGAGCCGTTTGGTCTATAATTTCCAGAAATACCTTCTGTCTCCTTGTAAAAATCGGAACATTTTCCCATCTCCACTGTCCTCAAGTATCTAGGTTGTTTTTCAGTCCTACCTGCAAGGGATTTCATGACTCTGGTGTCCTACCTGAATCAGGCCCCCAGAACTCATCTATGGCCACAAAAGGTCTGCCCTCCACCTTCTCATCTGTCTTGTGACACACTTAAAATGTTTTGTATCAAAGTAATTCATGCACATGGTTAAAAATAAACTAGAACAGAAGAGCTTACAGTCCCCTACCTCATCCCTCCCACCCCTAGTCTTGCTCCCCAGAGGCAACTGCTTCTAACTCTTTTAGCTCTTTATTCTGGGAGTAACTTCCATATCTCTAAATAATATGCTAATGCCACTGTTCCTTGGCTTTTCAAGTTTAAACATCCTCTATTAATTTATAACTATCAAAAATGAGGTGGGGCACGGTGGCTCACGCCTGTAATCCTAGCACTTTGGGAGGGTGAGACAGGCGGATTGCTTGAGCTCAGGAGTTCAAGACCAGCCAGAGGAACATGGTGAAACCCTATCTGTACTAAAATACAAAAAATTAGCTGGGTGTGATGGCACATGCCTGTAATCCCAGCTACTTGGGAGGCTGAGACAGGAGAATTGCTTGGACCTGGGAGGCGGAGGTTGCAGCCTGGGTGACAAAGCCAGACCCTATCTCACACACACAAAACAATGATAATAATAATAATTTATCAAAAATGAGGATTTAGTTTACATATCTAATCCAAACAACCGTCCCCCCACCCTACTGTCAGTACAGTTATATAACTGTTCTTATTTAATTCCTCTAAATAAAATAAAAATAAATCTGTCAATTACCTCTGTTGCTTTAAGTGACTACATCTTTATTTTTCATCCCACTAGCTGTTGATAGTAGTTTTGACTCACTGTTTATAGGATAAAGATATCATCACTCCTACCTTTCCCTTTAGGCTGCCCTTCCCAACTTCTGTCTTCTGAACATTTACTTTTTTTTTTTTTTTTGAGACAGAGTCTTGCTCTGTCACCCAGGCTGGAGTGCACCCAGGCTGGAGTGCTATGGCATGGTCTTGGCTCACGACAAACCTCCGCCTCTTAGGTTCAAGTGATCCTTCTGCCTTAGTCTCCCAACTAGCTGGGATTACAAGAATGCACGATCACACCCAGGTAATTTTTGTATTTTTAGTAGAGATAGGGTTTGGCCATGTTGGCCAAGCTGGTCTCGAACTCCTAACCTCAAGCGATCCACCCACCTAGGCCTCCCAAAGTGCTGGGATTACAGGAATGAGCCACCACGCCTGGCACATTTACTTTAAATGTTCAATGTTGACAACATTTATGTTCCAATTTTCTCATTAGATTATGTTCTAATCTTCTGTGCTTTGCTTATAGGTTTCTAAATGTTTAAATCCAATAAATAGTGTTTACATTTTGTGACAATGTAAATATTGTTTATTACAGAGCCACACAATGTCCTATGATGAATTTTCTTCTTTTATTTCTTCTAGTTTTTCATAAGAGTTTCTAATTGCCTTTCTTCTTCTCGTTTCCCTTCTCTTTTTTCTCTCTCTCTGTCTCTCTCTTTCTTAGACAGGGTCTCACCGTGTCACCCAGGCTGGACTCAAGCCATCTTTCTAAGTAGCTGGGATTACAGACATGTGCCACCATGCCAGGCTTATTCTTTAATAATACCCTTGTCATTTCCTCAAGTCTGCTCTCACCTTTCCAGCAAATGAGTAGAGGTGCCTTATTTCTCAGGACCTGTTACACAGAGCCCTCTGCCCTTCCGCCACATAGGTGTTGGCCTGGGGCTTCTTCCTTTCACTGATGCCCTGGGCCTGGCAGCCCTCTCTCCCTCCCTCCTTCTCTTCCTTTCTTCTGCTTGTTTCTTCTTTGTTTATGCTCTCATTTTGCTGTACCACATCTTTAATTTCTCAAGGAGTGTGTGGTATGTAGGTTTTCTGAGTCCCTCATGTCTGAAAGTATCATTGCTCCACCCTCACACTTGAATGGCAATTTGGACAGATATAGAATTCTTGATTGAAAATTGCTTTGGTCATTGAATATTGAAGGCATAGTTCTAGCCTTTGCTGGTGAGAACTTTGAGACCAGTCTGATGCATATATATATGTGTATGTATATATATATATGGAAATATATATATATACAAATATATATGCAAATATATATATGCAAATATATATACACATATATATGCAAATATATATACACACATATATATGCAAATATATATACACATATATATGCAAATATATACATATATATGCAAATATATATGCATATATATACAAATATATATGCAAATATATACACATATAACTATATATACATATACATATAAATATATATATATATATTTTTTTTTTGAGATGGAGTTTTGCTCTTGTTGCCCAGGCTGGAGTGCAATGGTGAGATCTCAATTCACCGCAATGTCTGCCTCCCAGGTTCAAGTGATTCTCCTGCCTCAGCCTCCTGAGTAGCTGGGACTACAGGCATGTGCCACCATGCACGGCTAATTTTGTATTTTTAGTAGAGACGGGGTTTCTCCATGTTGGTCAGGCTGGTCTCAAACTCCTGACCTCAGGTGATACACCCGCCTTGGCCTCCCAAAGTGCTGGGATTAAAGGCGTGAGCCGCCACACCCAGTGTCTGATGCCTATATTTTTAGAGGTACTCTTTCTTTTTTCTTTCTTTTGTTACCTCTAAGGAAATTTTTAGGTAACCTTTCTTTTTTTCTTTTTTTACCTCTAAGGAAATTTTTAGGATCTAGATATACTATCATTTAGATATAAAACTAATTCTCTTACCTTCCAACACCTTCTAATGACTTTTTTATTTCTGTGATCCTATCTTTAATTTCCAGTAGTTCACACTTATTCTCTGATTACTCCTTTTCATAGCATCCTGTCCTTGTTTAGGGATGTAACACCTCTCCAATCTATCTGACAAATGCCTGAAATATTTAAAATGTTCTTTTGTCTTCTGTTTCCTAAATTACTTCTCTTTCTTATGGAGCTCTGCCCTGACCACCACCACCATTTATCCTTGTCTCTTTTTCATGCTAAGGTCATTTTTCAAATATCTGACGATCTTTGTCTTATCATATTTAAGAGTGAGCCATCCTGGTCAGCTGGCAGATTTCATTTCTCTTTTCTTTCTTTCTTTCTCTTTCTTTCTTTCTTTCTTTCTCCTTCCTTCCTTCCTTCCTTCCTTCCTTCCTTCCTTCCTTCCTTCTTTTTTTTGGACAGTCTCATGCTGGAATGCAGTGGTGCGATCTTGGCTCATTGCAACCTCTGCCTCCTGGGTTCAAGCAATTCTCTTGCCTCAGCCTCTCAAGTAGCTGGGATTACAGGCGTGCACCACCACACCTGGCTAATTTTTTGTATTTTTTTTGTAGAGATGGTGTTTCGCCATGTTGGCCAGGCTGGTCTCGAACCGCTGACCTCAAGTGATCTACCTGCCTTGGCCTCCCAAAGTGCTGGGATTGCAGGCATGAGCCACTGTGCCCGGCTCATGAATGGAAATTTTCAATTCCCTCTTAATGTGTGTGTTTTATCTTTTTCAGAATGGTCATTCTCCTAACATAGGAGAATGAAACAAATTGAGAGCTTCATCATCATAATTAATATCTCTCCCTCTGTGAAACAGAGGCTCCTGAAATCTGAGAGGCTCCTTCCTTCTCTGTTGGGCTCTTTTTTTTTTTTTTTTTTGAGATAGTGTTTTGCTGTGTTGCCTGGGCTGGGGTGCAGTGGCGTGACCACTGCTTACTACACCCTCGACCTCCCTGGCTCAGGTGATCCTCCAGCCTCAGTCTCCTGTGTGGCTGGAACCACAGGCACCGCACCACCACACCTGGCTAAATTTTGTATTTTTTATAGAGACGGAGTGTCGCCTTTTTTGCCCAGGCTGGTCTTGAACTCCTGGGCCCAAGCGATCCTCCTGCCTTAGCCACCCAAAGTGCTGGGATTACAGGTGTGAGCCACCACGCCCAGCTTGTTGGGCTGCTTTTGTTTCTGACTTCAGATGCAGCTTCCCACTCGTCCCTGTCAGAGACCTTTGCTTCCTCACCTCCAAATGCCAATCATGTCTGTGTCCTGTCAGTTCTAAGTCTGGCATGTTCCTTGAATTCAGGGCTCCAGCTTCTTCTACTGCCTTAGTCCAGTGGTTCTGGCCCGTAGTTCAGTTCCAGGCGGTTTCTCCTGTACGATTGTAGCAGCCTCCTAGCTGGTCCCTGCCAACCCTCCCCTAATCCAGCCTTACCAGCTCTAAATTCAGACTTTATTATGTCCCTCATTTACAGCAAAAGAAGGACATTTTAAAGCAATTAACATCACTTCTATGGAGAGCTATTTGGTGATATCCACCAAAATGATAACTGCACCTGCCCTTTGACCTGCAATTTCACTTCCAGGAAGTTATCCTGCATACAGAGTTGTACATGTAAAACATGACGTATGTACCAAGTTATTTATTGCAGCACTGTTTATAAATAAAGCAAAAGATTATAGAGAGGGAATGGTGGCGTGATCACAGCTCACTGCAGCTTCTACCTCCCTGGGCTCAGGTGATCCTCCCACCTCAGCCTCCCAAGTAGCTGGGACCGCAGGCATGTGCCATTATGCCCAGCTAATTGTTGTATATTTTGTAGAAATTAGGTTTTGCCATGTTGCCCAGGCTGGTCTCGAACTCCTGAGCTCAAGTGATCCACCTGCCTTGGCCTCCCAAAGTGCTAGGATTACAGGCTTGAGCCACCATGCTGGCCCCTATGTTTATTTTATCTTATGTAAAAATGCAGATTCACTGAGCTAGATGAATGCATAGGTGACTAGTCCTCTGCCCACCTCTCACATGTGAAGGGCTGATCAAAGACTCAAAAGAATGCAACCATTTGCCTCTTATCTACCCATGCCTTTTAAAAATTTCTTCCTTTCACCAATATCCACCCTTTCTTCTTTAAATATTGAAGCCCTCAAAATCATCCTTGGAGACAGGCACAGACCTGTCTTCTGGATGTGCATCCTTAACCTTGGAAAAATAAACCTCTAAATTAATTGACACCTGCCTCACAAAATTCTTGGTTTACAAAAGCATTAAAATATTAACTAGCAGTGGTTGTTTATAGGTAGTTGGCATATGAGTGATTTTAATCTTTATCCTATTTCTGTTTCTCCCTCAATTTTTTTTATGATAAGCATATCAATTCTAATAATCAGCCAAAAAAATAATGGATGCTGCCCTCCCCCACATGGTGCACAGGACCAAGCTCAGTGTCTTCAATGCATTTCCATCCTCCTCCCCTATCATTTCCCAACCTCCCCCAGCACAGCAGGATCGGTGGTTTCTGAACATGGCCCCTTGGTTGTTCTCCCCTGTCCTGCAGAAATGCGACCCAGCTTCCACTGTGCAGCTTGTGTGTCACCCCCTTCCAGATAGAATCAGCGGCTCTTCCTTTGTGCCTATGTAGCCAACTGTTTCCCACTGGCCTGGATTCCTGGTGGGTGTGGACCTTGTCTTCTTGTCCCTTTGCCACCTAGGATGGCCCCCGCCTTGACTCAGGGGGCGTGCCGAGTGCTGGCAAATGCAGCTGAATGACCACAAGCCCTTGTTGGCTTCCTCCACCTTCTGTGAGATGGCTGGGTTACGAGAGTCCGAGTTGGCCACAGTCCTCTCTTCATGGTGGTGTCTCCTTTCTGGGCATCACTCTTTCCGGGGTGTTCTGCCAGACATGCTGCAGTGCTTGTTCCCCACTGGGGGGGGGGCCCTCGACTTAGCAGCATCCTTCAGACAGAGCTGCATCTTCCAAACCAAGGATGGTTACCGACCAACCCCCAGAGGTCTAGCTGGAGGAACAGGGGCTCTCGGGACGGCTGGTTGGCCTCAGGAGAGGGGCAAGAGGAGGGCTTTTTCTCACATCCCGTCAGGAATCTTGGAGAAAATGGGGCTGGGAGCCCAAGTAACACATTTGTCCTGACACTTCCACTCCCTCCTAGGAACCTTCCAAGTCTTCTTGCCTGCATCTGTCCAAAAGAAAATTGGGCAGGAGGGGAGGAGACAGGAGCAGGGGAGTGACTGAAGCAGGGCCCAACCCCAATCTATCTCCTTTCCTCTCAGAGGATTTGAGATGGTTCCTTGCCTTTTAGCAGATTCATGGAGAAGAGCATAGCTGGCAGAGAATCCCATTCCTTCCCAGTTTCTCAGCGTGCAAAGATCCCTTAATTCACAGACTGCCTGCACCCATCTCTTACCCAAGCCCTGCCCCCCAGTCCACATGGAAGTTGAACCTAAAGGAAATGTTTTTTGTTTGTTTGTTTGTTTTTTGAGACAGAGTCTTGCTCTGTCGCCAGGCTGCAGTGCAGTGGCGCCATCTCGGCTCACTGCAACTTCTGACTCCCTGGTTCAAGGGATTCTCCTGCCGCAGCCTCCCGAATAGTTGGGATTACAGGCACGCGCCACCACGCACAGCTAATTTTTGTATTTTTAGTAGAGACGGGGTTTCACCACATTGGCCAGGATGGTCTTGAACTTCTGATCTCAGGTGATCTGCCCACCTTGGCCTCCCAAAGTGCTGGGATTACAGGCGTGAGCCACTGTACCTGGCTGGTCTCTTTTTTTTTTTTTTTTTTGAGATGGAGTCTTGCTGTGTCACCCAGGCTAAAGTGCAGTGGCACGATCTTGGCTCACTACAACCTCCACCTCCTGGGTTCAAGCGATTCTCATGCCTCAGCCTCCTGAGTATCTGGGATTACAGATGTGCACCACCACGCTCGGCTAATTTTTGTACTTTTAGTAGAGACGGGGTTTCACCATGTTGGCCAGGCTGGCCTTGAACTGACCCTCAAGTGATCCACCTGTCTTGGCCTCCCAAAGTGCTGGGATTATAGGCGTGAGCCACCATGCCTCACTGAACCTAAAGGAAATGGAAGAGAAGAGCAGGCCGTGTGCAGTGGCTCACACCTGTAATCCCAGCACTGTGGGAGGCCGAGGCAGGAGGATTCCTTGAGCCCAGGAGTTAGAGAGTAGCCCGAGCAACATATCGAGATCCCGTCTCTACAAGTAATAAAGTAATTAGCCAGGCATGCTGGGGCACACCTGTAGTTGTAACTACTCAGGAGGCTGGGGTGGGAGGATGGCTTGAGCCCGGGATGTCAAGGTTGCAGTGAGCCAGGATTGCGCTACTGCACTCCAGCCTGGGCAACAGAGTGAGGCTCTGCCTCAAAAAAAAAAAAAAAAGAGAGAAGAGCAGGTGTCAAATTCCTTTTATGTCCATCTATGCTTTCTCTTAAGCAGCCTTGGTTTAAGAGATACTAATAGAGATACTTCCTAATCTGGCTGTCGTTGCTTTCATCCTTATCCTTATACCCTAGCAGATTTACCAAGAGGATAAATCCCAGCTGGAAGTCTTGGACATCTGGCTCCATTTTCAGCATTATCTCCAGATTAGGGCAGCCAGGGAGAAACTTGGATGTGGAGGGCACACAGCCCTGCACAGACACAGACAACTATGAAGTCAACTATTAAAAGACTCCCCATGCATAAAATCCTTCCATTAATAGTCAATAATGGCTAATATTGTGTGACATATTTTGAGGACTTTTCCCCTGTGTCAGGGAAGTGGGTATGTTTTTTATATCTCCATATTACACATAAGAAAACTGAGGCACAGAGAGGTGAAGTAAGTGGCCCAAGGTCGCTCAGCTAGCAAGTACACTAGCCAGGATTTGAGCCCTCTGGCTCTAGAGCCTATGCCCTTAACCACGAGGCTATCCTGCTAGGGTTACACTTTCCTTTTCAGGGTCTTGTGAGGCACAGCTTGACCCCTGACCCTCTTTGGGTACCCTGGGCCACCCCATGGGTCCAGAGTCTGATTTTGAACTCTAACCAGCCACCCCACCCCAGCCCTTGGCTCCCCAGCAGAGTGAAGTGGGTCTGCTCCAGCTTGAGGCTACTAGGAGCCCATTGATGGCATTGCCTAGAGCCACATCATGCAGAATGAGCTCCTGGCAGCACAAGCCCGCGCTGTTCATTCGGAGCTGCGGCATGCTCACTAGGTCCTCATGGTGATGCTGGGAGGTGGACTAGAGTATCCCATTTGGCATGTGAGGAATTGAGCTCCGTGAGATTAAGTCACTGGTCCAGAATCACAGAGTAGCCAAGCCAGGATTCAAACCCAGACCTCCACGTGCCATGTGCAGCTCTCCTTTCACAAATCCACAGCTGCACTCCAGGGATTCCCGGCTGACAAATGTAGTTTGGGTGTCTTACTGTGGTCTTTAACCCGCAGGACCCAAAGCTACAGCGTTTCCAGTTTCTTTCCTTCCCAGACTCTCAGGAAACCACTTCTCAAACGTCTACTTGCTACAGAATTGCTTGAGGAGAGTATTTAAAATGCAGATTCCCAGAGTTCATCCTCCAGGGATTCTGACTTTGGAGGTCTGGGGTAGGGCCCAGGACTCTGCATTCTTAGCAGACCCTCAGATAATTCTGAAGCAGGAGGGTCCTGATGCACCCATCTCTGAGAAACCTGCTTTACACCCATCTGAGTGGTATCTGTCCCAACCCCTACTCATGGCAAGGGGCCCATAAACCTCTGAGGGATGACTAAATGTTCCGGTGTGGTTCAGGTTTCTCTCTGGGGGTTGAAAATGTTATAAAGTGCAATGGGAGATTTTCTAGGCAGAAGATGGGTCCTTTGCCTTCTGAGAGATGGGGCTACTTCTCTTGGGTTTCACTCTATAGGTGAAGGCGGAGTGAGGGGAGAGGGCCGCCCCTTGAGGGCTCAGCAGGGCCCTAGCCTGCGCCTGTTTTCAGACCAGGTTGCTGCTCTTTTGGCTGACGTCATAAAACAGAGCCCTGGGTGGGCGTGGTGGCTCACGCCTGTAATCTTAGCACTTTGGAAGCTGAGGCAGCGGGATCACCTGAGGTCAGGAGTTCAAGACCAGCCTGCTCAACATGGTGAAACCCCATCCCTACTAAAAATACAAAAATTAGCCACGTGTCAAGTGAGGAGCACCTCTCTCTGGCCGCCGCCCTGTCTGGGAAGTGAGGAGTGCCTCTTTCTGGCCGCCACCCTGTCTGGGAAGTGAGGAGCACCTCTGCCCGGCCGCCGCCCACCATCTGGGATGTGAGGAGTGCCTCTGCCTGGCCGCTGTGCAACCCTCCAAGTGTGAAGTGACAGCCTTGTGGGTGATACTTCTGCCCTCCCCAAGTTTGCATTTTTGACATTGAAGTTTACTTTTTAATTAAAAGTTTTAAATTGGAGAATAAAAAAAAATTAGCCAGGCGTGGTAGCACACGTCTGTAATCCCAGCTAACTGGGAGGCTGGGGCAGGAGAACTGCTTGAACCTGGGAGGTGGAGGTTGCAATGGGCCAAGATCGTGCCACTGCACTCCAGCCTGGGCGACAGAGCAAGACTCTGTCTCAAGCAATAACAACAACAACAGAGCCCCAAGTCAGTGTTTCTCAACCTTGCCCCAACCGCTTCCGAATCACCTGTTATTTGTCAAAAATGCAGATTCCTGCCCCCAACTCTGATTTGTTGAATTAGGATGAGGAAGAGGGGACAGCGCCCAGAAATCTGCACTCTCGGCTGGCACCCCAGCCATCACTTATGCACCTGAATGCTTGAGAAATTCTGTCGCAGAACATGGACTTTGGAGTGTCACAGACCTGGGTTCCAGTCCCAGCTCTGCCACAAAGTAGCTGCGTGGTCTGGAGCAATCTCAGTCTCTGTGAAACTCAGTTTCCTCATCTAAAGAAATAGGTTACTACACAAGCTTATTGGTCTTGCTGTGAGTTGATTCTCACAAGACCAATCAAACAATGAAGAAATGTACGCAAAGCACTGGGCACCTCGGAGAGATGGCACCCCCAGCCTAGTGGTAAAGAGAGGGATGCATAGAGGAATGCTTTCTCTGGGAGGAAAGAGCTGGGAGCACTGAGCATTACTCACCCACTGGCAAACACTGACCCACTTCAAAACAATTCTGACTTTCCATTTCCTCTGGGGGGAGCTCAGTGAAGCTTTCAAAGGTGACTAGGTCCTTTCCCATACTCAGGTGTGAGCCATCCCAAGTCCCAAGTTGGGGTCAGGTGTTGTAAACAAAAAATAATACAATTTTGACTCCTTCCACACCTCCAGCTGAGCCCTCCATCCACGGCCCCACCTGCCATTTCCCCTCCACGTGACATTCCTAGATCCCTCACTGGGTGGCAGGCCCAGTCTGAAAGGCCCTCTTGGCAAACCACGGGTCTGCCAAGGTCCCTGGGACCTGTAGCCTCAAAGCCAGGAGTTTCCAAATCCTTCCTTCTCTTTGGCTCTCCCAGTCTGGCCATGCAAAGAAACGCCAGAGCTTTTAAAAAGTTTCGGCCATTCATAATGGATTAGTCCACTCCGGAAACATTCCCCAGCTCTGCTGAGAGCCTGCCAGGCGACTTGGTGACGTGCTGCTCTCAGCGCACACAATGGGCATGGGAGAACAATGACGAGGAGAAAAACATCCCGCCCGCGTGTCCATGGGCTCACATCCTCCTAGGACCCCGCCCCCGCATGCGCTCCCAGAGCTGGGGGAGTGGGGCGGGGGGACGGGGAGGGAGGGATAGAGAGAGGTGCTAGAGGACAACTGCGAGAGCAAGTGAGGGAGGGGAAGAGGAGGAGCTCACCCAAATTTCCCCGGTTTGGCTGCATTCTGAACCAGTTGGGTGAGTCAGATTAGAAGCCAAATCTGCTTATTCTGGCTCTCCTGCTAGCCCCGCGGCCACTGCTCACGGCCCGATGCTGAAACGGATTAAAACCTGAGCTGGCAAACAAAACAGTTCAGAGTTACTGACCTACGGTGCACAGCGTTGGGGCAGGGGTGTGCCTGGTAGGAGGCCAAGTGTTGCCACTTAACCTCCCATGTGCAAGGAGTTCAAAATCCCAAAGCCTCAGTTTCCCCATCCACTGAAATGGGGAAATCGTGCATGCTCTGTTTCCCTCACAGAAGGTGAGGCAACAAGGGCTACTGGGCGTGAAAGCATTTTCATAATTATTAAAAACATTAGCCAGGCGCGGTGGCTCACGCCTGTAATCCCAGCATTTTGGGAGGTTGAGGCAGGTGGATTACTTGAGGTCAGGAGTTCGAGACCAGGCTGACCAACATGGTGAAACCCCGTTTCTACTAAAAATGCAAAATTAGTCAGGCATGGTGACATGCACCTGTAATCCCAGCTACTTGGGAGGCTGAGGCAGGAGAATTGCTTGAACCTGGGAGGCGGAGGTTACAGTGAGCCGAGATTGTGCCATTGCATTCCAGCCTAGGCAACAAGAGTGAAACTCCATCTCAAAAAATAAATAAAAACAAACAAACAAAAACCCAAATAATTATTTAAAAAAATACTTGGTCACCAGGTGGTGTCATTCCTCTGACAAAGCCACTGGGGGAGGTCACAGCCAGGAATTAGAAGGCATGGCGCTTTTCATCCCAGGCAGCTTACAACTTAAACCCAAGAAAGAGACTTAGACACTGAAAACCTAGATACAAGAGTGTAGACTAAGCTGGGTGCGGTGGCTCATGCCTGTAATCCTTTCACTTTGGGAAAGGAGGATGTGAGCCCATGGACGCGCGGGCGGGATGTTTTTCTCCTCGTCATTGTTCTCCCATGCCCATTGTGTGCGCTGAGAGCAGCATGCCAAGGTGGGCGGATTGCCTGAGCTAAGGAGTTCAAGACCAGCCTGGGCAACATGATGAAAGCCCGTCTCTACTAAAATACAAAAAATTAGCCGAGCATGGTGGCATGTGCCTGTAAGTCCCAGCTACTTGGGAGGCTGAGGCAGAAGAATTGCTTCAATCCAGGAGGTGCAGGTTGCAGTGAGCCAAGATAACGCCACCGCACTCCAGCCTGGGTGACAGAGCGAGACTCCGTCTCCAAAAAAATAAAAAGTGTAGACTATAGACAACTAGAATTTCTAGACTGTCTGGCTTGGGGTAGGTCTGGTTGGGGATTGGGAGAATGCTTGGGGGATTTACTGAGAAGTGGTCACTGTTTCTATGCTAAGCTCTGTTTTTCACTTAGGTTATAGGTATTTGGGTGGCCTTTCAGGCAATGGAGGTTATGAGGGAGCTAAGGCCCCTGTGGACCCCTTGGCACCAGCACTGGCATAGGCCCACTTGCTACCACCAGAACTGAGCACATATGGGAGCATTCACGGGGCTGATTAAGGAAGGCTTCCTGGAGGAAGGGAGTTTGAGGCATGTTTGAAAGAAGAAGAGGGGGGATTATAAAACACGAAAGTGACAGCAGACAGGTTTATGTAACATCCAGGAGCAAGAATGAGACTCTGAGGGCATCCAGGACCCACCTTCATTGTAGGGACAAAAGCACCAAGGTCTCAGCCAGGTGAGGGAGTTTGCCCAAGGCACAGTGACTGAACTGGAACTGGTGCTGCAGGGAGCTGGAAGGAAGGAAGGAAGTCCAAACAGAGGGAACGTGGACAGACTCAGGCACAAGGGCTTAAGGTAGGAGGTGCCCTTGGGGAAAATGGGTCCTTGGTCTAGTAGCAAGATTGCAGAGTATGCAAAGAAGTCGGAGCCAGGGTACAAGGGGCTTAGGCACCTTGCTAGCGAGGAGGCTCAACCCTTAGTGGTGACAGTGGGACAGTCAGTGGAATGTCCTGAAGCCTCTCTGGAGGCCCTCTGCAGCCCAGGAACACCTAGGAGTGGAGGTTGGGGAGTAGAGTTTGGAAACACCTTAGAAACAAGATTGGCTGTACCCCGTGACTGTAAATGGGGACTCGAGTCTAAAGTCTAAGCTCAAGGCAGCAGGGGTAGCCCGAGGTGCCTGCTGCTGCATGGAAGGGAAGGGAGAGAGCTGGCCAGGCAAGAGTGGGTTCCAGCAAGTTCCTAATGTAGCAGACATTTCATGTTTGTATTCACTCATATTTTCATTCACAGCTATGAGCCTAGCAGTGAGGCCCAACTCAGTTTACAAGGCTTGCAAACCAGGTAGGTACTGCAGGGGCTGAGGAAGGGGAGTGGAGGGAGGTGGAAGGAGCAAGTCATCTGGGCAGCTGTTTACAATCTCTGGGATAATCCCTACCACATTTCTGCAACCGATATCTCTCTCCTTTACCAGGCTGTGAATTCCTTGAGGATAGAACACTGTTTATTTATTTCTGAATCTCTAGTGTTTCACAGAGTGGTCTAAGCCAAGGAGACTTTTTTTTTTTTTTTTGAGACAAGGTCTTGCCCTGTCGCCCAGGCTCCAGTGCAGTGGTGCAATTAGAGCTAACTGCAGCCCAAACTCCTAGGCTCAAGCGCTCTTCCTGCCTCAGCTTCCAGAGTAGCTGGGACTACAGGCATGCACCCCCATGCCTGGCTACTTTTTAAATATTTGTAGAAACAAGGTCTTGCTATATTGCCCAGCCTGGTCTCGAACTCCTTGCCTCAAGTAATCCTCCCGCTTTAGCCTCCTGAAGCACTGGGATTACAGGTGTGAGTACCGGACCTGGACCCAGGGAGTTTTTTTTTCTTTGTTTTTTGAGACACTCTCACTCTGTTGCCCAGGCTAGAGGGCAGTGGCACCATCTCAGCTCACTGCAACCTCCGCTTCCCGGGTTCAAGCAATTCTTGTGCCTCAGCCTCCTGAGTAGCTGGGATTACAGGTGCATGCCACCATGCCCGGCTAATTTTTGTATTTTTAATAGAAACGGGATTTTACCATGTTGGCCAGACTGGTCTTGAACTCCTGACCTCAGGTGATCCACCTGCCTCGGCCTCTCAAAGTGCTGGGATTACAGGCGTGAGCCACCGTGCCTGGCCCCCAAAAGATTTGTCTCTTAACTTTTAAAAAGTTTTAAAATTTAGGTAATGTTTGTTAAGTTCATAGCCTTTTGCCTAACATCGGTATCTGTTAGAGTAAGGGACACCAGAATTCCCAAACTCTAATGGCATTTTGGGAGGACAGGTAGTTCTCCATAGACAGAAAGGGTTTTATTCACTTGTGTGCCCCACGGAACCATTCCTCCTTTTAGTAAGAAGCCTTTGCCTCCTGGTCACAGCCCTCACAGTGAAACAGAGAAGGTGGGTGATGCCTGCTTCTACCCTCAGGGAAAGATGACATAACAACAGCTTACACTGTGTAATGCTTTCTACATGACCAGTAAATTCTGCGTGCTCTTCTTCTTCTTATTCTTCCTCTTCCTCTTCCTCTTCCTCCTCCTCCTCCTCCTTCTCCTCCTTCTTCTTCTTCTTCTTTTTTTTTTTTGAGACGGAGTCTTGCTCTGTTGCCTAAGCTGGGGTGCCGTGGCGCAATCTTGGCTCACCACAACCTCCGCCTCCCAGTTCAAGCGATTCTCCTGCCTCAGCCTCCTGGGTAGCTGGGATTACAGGTGTGCATCACCATGCCTGGCTAATTTTTGTATTTTTAGTAGAGACGGGGTTTCTCTATGTTGGTTGGCCAGGCTGGTCTCGAATTCCTGACCTTGTGATCTGCTCGCCTCGGCCTCCCAAAGTGCTGGGATTACAGGTGTGAGCCACCGTGCCTGGGCTCTGCGTGCTTTTCATGTACTAATTCATTTAATCCACACTCATCCTATGATCACCCCATTTTGTAGGTGGGGAAACTGAGGCAGAGAGAAGCCATGCGATGTGGCTAAGTTCATACAACTAGGATGTGGTGGTGCCAGGACTTAGGCTGAGGCAGCCTGGCACAGCACTGCCTCTATTGCTTATAAATCTCAACCTCGCCCCACCCCCACTCATCTTCTACAGAGAAGCCAGGCAGTAAATTCCATTACCAAGTGGAACACTGGCTGGAGGTGTGGAATCACAGGTGGCTGAAGGTACCCACTCAAGGCATCTGCCCAAGGCAGGAAACAGTACTGAGCCCTAACCTCTGGCCCCATCTCCTGTTCCCTGAGGTGGCCCTCCTACTCTCATCAACTCGAGCTTTAAGAATCTCAGATTGTGGGCTGGGCATGGTGGCTCATGACTGTAATCCCAGCACTTTGGGAGGCCGAGGCAGGTGGATCACTTGAGGCCAGGAGTTCAAGACCAATCTGGTCAACAGGGCGAAACCCCATCTCCACTAAAAATACAAAAATTAACTGGGCATGGTGGCACATGCCTGTAATCCCAGCTACTTGGGAGGCTGAAGCATGAGAATCGCTTGAACCCAGAAGGCAGAGGTTGTAGTGAGCCAAGATCATGCCACTGCACTCCAGCCTAGGCAACAGAGTGAGACTGTCTCAAAAAAAAGAAAAAAAAGTCCCAGATTAGTTCATTCCCACACCCCAGAATCAGTCTCAGGTCCTGAAAAGCCAAGTCTGGCCTCAAAGCCAGTGACAGGCCTGAGAGGATACCCCTGGCATCCTGGAATCCAAGGAGAAGGGTGTTTGCAAGCCCAGGATCATGCTTTGCCACATTCCTCTGGCTTCTCTGAGGAAGGTATCTCATCTGCCAGTTACACCTTGCTACTCCGCACAGCAAAAAAGAAAGATCCAAGGAATAGGGTCAGGCCAGGTGCAGATCTGGCTGCTGGCTCCTCAGGAACCTGGCAAGACATACCAGAGGCAGTGATGCCCCTGGAATTCCCAAGTGGTTTCCCAGTCTGGGGGACAAAGCACTTACTACCTCAAGAGGCAGCGGATCCACTTTGAGTGACGCCTGACCCAGTGCCTTTTATCATAAATTCTCTTTCCATGTTTACTTCCCCAGCTACGTTTAAAGCTTCCGTGGAGAAAAAACTCTGGGCTGAGGTCATTTTAAAAGTCTTGCAAAATCTTTTAAGTAGGATGTTCTTAATACATTCTTGCTGATTGAGATCTTATCAAGAGTGAAGAATGCAAGAAATAAAAGCATATGATCTTCCACTTTACTTCCAGGAGGGAGGAAGCTGGAATTCCTGCTTGTGGAGAAGTGGGTGGGAGTGTGCAGAGTGAGGATGTGAAGCTCACTCACCTAGCACTCTGGGTCAGGCCCCTCCTGAATATTCATTCTCTTTTTGTCTTTTTTTTTTTTTTTTTTTTTTTGAGACAGGGTCTCACTCTGTCACCCAGGCTGGAGTGCAGTGGCACGATCTCAGCTCACTGCATCCTCCACCTCCTGGGTTCAAACAATTCTCCTGTCTCAGCCTCCCAAGTAGCTGGGATTACAGGGGTCCACCACCACGCCCGGCTAATTTTTGTATTTTTAATAGAGATGGGGCTTCACCATGTTGGCCAGGCTGGTCTCGAACTCCTGGCCTCAAGTGATTCACCCGCCTCGGCCTCCAAAAGGGCTGGGATTACAGGCATGAGACACTGCGCCCGGCCTGAATATTCATTCTTAAATCCTCACAACCTTGTGAAATAGGTGTTATCACTATCTCCGTTTTACAGAGAGGGAAACTGAGGCACAGAGCAGTTAAGGAACATTCCCAAGGTGACACAGCTTGCAAGCCGTAGAGCTGGGATTTGAATCCAAGTCTGTGATTTTGGAGCCTGTGTGTTATTTCCCTGGTTGTTCAAGATTCCTTCTTCCCAGGAACCTAGGACTTAGCCAATCTCTCCTCCAGGGAAAACATGAGGACATTAAAACATTTTATTGTTCTTGAAAAAAAAAAAAACCTTAGGAAATTTTAATAGAATGACTAATGGACAACTGTCTTTCCCCCAAGTAGCTGAGACCTTAAGAAGCTGAGAGGAAGAAAAGATTATCCTAGCCGCCTCTGAGATGCTGAGCTCCTGGGAGTGGGGTCTAAGTCAGGGTCAAGTTTGTATCCTGGGTACTGAAAACAGAGCCTGGCACAGAGTCTGGAACCATCTGATGGATAATGAGTAAATTAGGGAGGGAGGAGCTCTGGAGGAGACAGGAAGATGAGGAACTGGGCTAGAAGTTTCTAGCCCAGAAAGGGGCAAGCAGGAGTGCTGACCACATGCAGGAGGGCAGCGGGGATCCTCCCTGCCACGCCCTGTCCATGCTTCAGCTCTCCATGTTTGCGTCACATCACCAGGAAGGGCCCAGGGATGCAGGAGCAAGGGTTGATGCTTGGCATTGAGAACACATCTCAGGGACTGGAGGCTTGGGTTGATTCAAGGGAGAGGCTGCAAAATCTCCTTCCTTAGACAAGAGGCTGGGTCAAATTATTGATCTCTGGGTTTCAGTATTACTCAGGGCCGCCCACTGAGTAATACCTAGTGCCCCCAAGGGGCACTGAGAGAAGTAAAAAGAAGCAGGAAGAAGGAAGAGGAGAAAACAAGGGAGGAAGCGGGAGTGGCCACGTGGCACCTGCAATCTCATCAGAGCTGCCCTTGGCCCCACCCGTCCTGTCTAGGAGAATTGGCACACACTCCCTGGAGTCTGGGCACTGACCATCAGCAATGATGCCAGCCACCGGGCCTCCACAGCTAGGGCGGGAGCAGGGCCCTGGTGCCCAATGATGCTTTTAGTTGGCAGATGGTGGGAGGTTCTGAGGGTCCGGAAGAGGGGCTGAGTCATCACTCAGGGGGCACTTGGTGGGGTGGGGGATAGTGACTTTTGCCCAACCCCCAGGTGTCAACTGGCTGCCTGTCAGACAATGCTTTTAGGTGACCAGAAGGCAAGGATTTCCCAGTCCCTGGAAACCAGATGCCCATCCTCCATGCAAACAAGTGAGGTGGAGTGTCCGTGCCAGTGCCCACACCTGCCCGGAGGCAGCTGCTCAGGTAGGCTGACCTGGGTTGTAATTGACAGTCCACCTTACTCCCTGTGTGGCCATGCAGGTCACCTAACCCTAGAGCCTCTGTGGCCCTCCCTGGGATTAGGATGACAGTCCCTCTCGCAGCAACACAGGAGAGCAGGTGCTTCCCTTCTCCCTTCCCACCACACCTGCTGCTGCTCTACCACCACCTGGGGGATCCTTCCTCTCCCTGCCCCATCACCCTCCTTATAGGGGCTGACATCTCCTATTTGACCCTCTGAGCCTTTAAAAACAGAGGCCAGTGGCTTCCCATCTCAGAATAAAATCCAGAACCCGTACCACAGCCCGCAAGACCCCGCACGAGTGAGCGGTTCTCAACCCTGGATACATGTTAGGGTCATCTGAATCAATCTGAGCTGGGGCCGGATGGCAGTGGATCTTAAGCACTTCCCAGGTGGATCTAATGGGCAGAGCCACTGCCCCACATGATACATCCCTCCTGCCATGCTGCCTGGCTCACTGTGCCCTGGCCTCACTGCCTCTCACTCATTCTCAAGTACGTTCACCTCAGGGCCTTTGTTGGAATACTCTGTCCCTGGCTGTCCACCTGGCCCCCTTACACAACATAGCTCACTTTTTTTTTTTTTTTTTTTTTTTTTGGTACAGGGTCTCACTCCATTGCCCAGGCTGGATGGTAGTGGCATGATCACTGCTCACTGCGGCTCGACCTGGGTTCAAGTGATCCTCCTACCTCAGCCTCCTGAGTAGCTGAGACTACAGGCATGAGCCGTCACACCCAGCTAATTTTTTTTTAAATAGAGACGGGGTCTCGCTATGTTGCCCAGGCTGATCTCAAACCCTTGGGCTCAAGCGATCTGCCTGCCTTGGCATCCCAAAGTGCCAGAATTACAGGTGTGAGCCACCACGCCCAGCCCATAGCTCATTTTTGATGGAGAGGTCCCTCCCTGACCAGGCAGTTCCCCTCCCTATGCCATCACATTCTTCCCCCTCAAACCTGCCCCTGCCTTATTTTGTCTCATCACACTTATGACCCCTTGATATGCCTGTTGGTTTGGATAACGTCTTATACCCCCCACTGGAACATAAGCTCTATGAGAGTAGGGCTTGGCCATCTTGTTCACGGCTGTATCCTCAGTGCCTAGCACAGCACCGGGTGCACAGTGGGTTCTTGAGAAAACCTGTTGTAATCAAGGCCATCTCTGCCGGCAGGTCTGAGCTTCTGGAAGGTAGGGGTGGAATGTCATGCATCTTGGTGTCCCTGGCATCTAGCACAGGGCCAGGCATGGAGGAGGCTGTGGCTAATTCATGGTGCTGATGATTTGCTCTGGAGATAGAGGGGCTCACTGGGGTGCTGTAGAGTGTCACGGCCAAAAGCAAGGGTCTGAGCAGTGATAGAGGTGGGGAGATGGCCCAAAGGAGGCTGGGATGCTTCAAGAAGGGAGGAAAGGAGCAGGCCTGCAACAGTGTCTGACACTTGGCTGACCCAGGGGGCCTAGCAGGGTAGAGGAGTGGTGGCCTATTAGACATCAGCCCTGACCACTGGACCCAGAGAGTAGGGGCAGGGTGAATGGGAGCCCACAGGAGGGTGGGGCAGGGGAGAGCGAGCTCCAGGTCCCACCGGGGTGCAAGATGATGTGGGCAGTGCCAAGCACAGGAGCTGATATCACCCCCACCCTGTAGAGTTCAGCAAATAGGACATTTTGTCTGAAGCTGCAGGGCTGCTACATGCCTCAAATGCCCCTGCCAAGTGGCCATGGTGGAGGGGACGGCATCTGCACCCTGGATATTCCTGACCTGTCCCAGAAGCAGGCAGGTGACAAGTGAGGCCTGAGGGGGAATGACTTGTAAAAGGCTGCTTTGGGCCGGGGATTCCAGCAGAATGGGGCAGGCTCCTGTTTTTGAGAGTCACCGGCATAAGGAAATGATTGCAGGGGTGCCCAGGAAACCGAGGGCTCCAGGACACTGGGTTGGGTTGTAGCTCAGCCTGGTCCCTGGGAGCCCAGTGGCAGCTCATGGCCAAAATCACTCAGCCCCTCTTCACACCCGAACCCAGCTTCCTTCTCCGGAGCCATCACTTTTTGAGCACCAATCATATCCAAGGCCTGGTGTAGGCCTGTCCAGCTGAGTTCCACACCCCCAGGCTGGCCGGCACTCCCAGCCCTGGCAGCTTTCTAGGGCAGAAGCTCAGCATGCCTGATGTCAGAAGCCCCTAGGTGTGTGCCTCCTCAGCAGGGCCACAGCTGCAGCAGCAAGAACGGCTGCCCCCAGCGACTCTGGGCCACCTCTGCCTGCCACAAGAGTTGCCTTGCAAAGTGCTCCTCAAGGCAGCATCTGCCCATATCCTTCCTTGTGTGTTTTCCTCCCTCCAGGGCCTCTGCACTATCTCCACCTCACCCTCCCCACGCCTCCCACTCCTTAAAGACCACAGGGCTGGGGGGCAGACACCTGGGATTCTAATTTGGTATGTGACCCCAGGCTACCCCTGGGAGGCTCCTGTCCTCATCTGCAAAGTGGGGAGAAAGGGGGGTTTCTATGAGGATTCAGTGAGACAATGCCTGGGCACAGGGCTGCCTGGCACCCAGCAGGGAACTTAATAAATGTCTGGTTTCCAATTCCCACCAATGCATTTCCCAGCCCTTCTCCTCCCCTCAAGCACTAATTGTCTGAGTTACGACCCTACTTTGGTGTCTGGCTGCCTACAAGCAAAGTGAGGAGGTCTCCTTCGGTAGAACTGGTGCTGAGCTGAGAATGGAGCCCTGGCCCGCCCCTTACTTCCAGAGCCTTGGGAGACATCATCAACCTCAGCATCAGCTTCCTCCTCTGGAAAGCAGCCACCCTCTTAAGTAACTGCAAACCATGCCGGCAAACTGCAAAGTGCTTAAGGCCAGGCATGAGGACAGGTCAGGAGGCAGGGTTTCGGGCCTGGCATTCTCAGAGTGGTCTCGGGAAGAACAAACCTGGACACCGAACTGGACAACAGCAGGACTCTGAGCACTTTGGGAGCTGTGTATGATGTGTTGCGGGGGTGGGTTGTGTCCAGATCAAAGGTGGGGAGGCGGTCTAGGCAGCAGCAGGAGGTGTATTCGAGGTCTGCAGCAATTCTTGCAGAGCCTGAATTACAGTGAGGCCCACACCCTCGTCCTGCTGCCCTGGCCTTGGCCATCTCCCATGTCAACCTCATCTTGATCTTGCCTACCTCCCTCCCCAGAAGCCAGGGGGCCATTTGGCATCAGGAACACAGGGATTAGCTGCACGGCCAGACCCCAGACCCCCGCCCAGGGGTCCCTCTTTGCTCTCCTGGCCAGCCCCACCCCACAGGCACCAACTTGGGCCAATGCCAGGCCACAGGTCAGACTCCCAGGCCTGGGACTCCTCTGCCCACCCACAACAACCACTGATGCTCCTCAGCAAGAGCCAACTTCTGGCTCTGAACGCAGCAGCACCCAGGATACAGCAAGGTGAATGCTAGGCACTCGTCCCACAGCCTGGGGTGTAGGGGAGGTCAGAGATACACACAAATCAAACTCTCTCCTCACTATATATATATATATATATATATATATATACACACACACACACACACACACACACACACACACATACACACAAGCACACCCCACCCACACTCATTAGGCCTGGAGGGGGGACTTCAGTTCTCCATCTTTGGCATCAATCTATCAAAGTCAGCTTTTCTGTACGAGACTGCTCGCTCCTTTCTGTACATGAATTAAATATATTATCTGTCTCTGCACTGAGTCACACGACGTTCACAGTACCGTGGGGAGGAGTGGAGGGTGGGGGCCTGAGGTGGGCAGGGCAGGGGGCCTGGGTAGAAAGGCGAGGCTGGCCTCCCCTTGGCCTGTGCCATTCAGGATCAGCCCAGTGTTGAGGAGACCTGGGGGATACAGAGGGGAGCCTTCTTCAGGGGCCCCGGCCACCCAGGCTTCCAGCCCCCGGAGGCAAGCCTCTCAGCATCAGAGCCTGCTCCTGTTCCACGTTCCTCTCCCTCAGATGGTGGCATCTACACCTCTCCCTGTCGTGGCCGCCCTCTGGGGTGGCAGGGGCTGGGGGAAGCTGGTATTGGGATCAGGTGGACAGAGCCACAAGGGCTGGGAAGGAAGGATGGGGAGGCTGTGCGAGCCTTCGGGAGCTGAGGTCAGCCTGGCACCAGTGTCAGGGTGACTCTGCATATCTGGGTGCCGTCCCCAGGACCCTGACCAGGCCTGGCTAATCAGAGCCCTGGGATGATAAGGTAAGCAGGAGCCACCTCGGGAAGGGGTGGACAGGCAGGAGCCGGTCACAGCTCCAAGGGCAGTGAGTACGGTACCACCTGCCAATTTAAGGCAACTCCATTCAGACTGATGAGCTGGGCGGGGGCTGGCTGAGGTGGCAGGCGTGCAACTGGCGGTCCCAGGCCACCTCTGGACACAGCTGGGCATCCAAGCATGCCAGCAAAGCGTATGCCGGCACTGCTCAGCCATGGTTCAAGCCAGAGGGTGTCGGGGAATGAGGGTAGGGTAGGGCTGATGGAAAGAGTGGGGACTACTATTCCTTCTGTTGCTGTGGGACACCTGCCAGGTGGGGTAGGCTTTGGCACACATGTGGGTACCTAGGATTCCAGGGTCCCAGAGAACATGCCATGTCTCTTCTTGCTCTCAGAGGGGAAAAAGATGAAACGTGTGTGGGCTCCAAGGGGCCAGAAAGGGGGACTACCAAACTGGCACTAGGCAGGTCCTGGGGGAGGAGGGTAGAGCCTGTATCCAGGGCAGAGTGCCCATCCTGGCGCCTTGATTCTGTCATCCGTGTGCATCCCACGCAGGTGCCCAAACACCAGGGTGGGAGAGGGTACGAGGACCGCCCCCCCCTCATGTCCTCTCAGGGAAGCAGCTTATGCCAGCCCCAACGTGGGTAAAGGAGGGGTTGGTATGCAGGTGAGGGCTACTGGGGAGGCACACGGGAAGCACAAAGAAGAAACAGCCGTGGCCAGAAGGGCTGCCAAGCGGTCTTCCAGGCTGGCTGTCAGCCCTCGTTCTTCAGTCCTCCGAGGGCCACACAGGCTCCATCCTACCCGAATTTGTGCTCCATGTGATCTCTTGTCCCTTGGCCACAGCAAGGTGGGCGTGGCTCAGAAGATGCTCTGCCGCCTGTTCTTCCCTCGTCCTGGAGAATGGAGAAGAGGTGGGGCTGCAGGGAGGAGGCTGGGCTGACGGGTACCCCAGGTCAGCAGGGACAGTCGCTGTCCCCCAGAGCTGCTCTGACAGAGCAAGCAAGGGCATGCAAACAGGAGCCGGTCTGACCTGGTGTCAAATCCCATCTCTGCTACTTACTAGCTGCATGAACTTGTGACTTAACCTCCCAGAGCCTCAGTTTCATTGACTATGAAATGGGGAATATTAATAGTACTAGCTTCAAGGGGTATTTTAAGGATTAAAGAAGACGATGCATGGAAAGCATTTGTCAATGTCCAAGGCCATTGACTGTTCTAGGAACAAAGTACCGTTCTCCCAGGATGGAATCTGATTAGAGAGCTCAGGGTTTGCAGAGAGAATGCACCAGAGACAGCATGCCTCTTTGCCAGGGCTACTGTCAAATGCAATGTCCTGTCTGGGGTGGAGGGTTGAGGAGGGAAGAGCTGGACGAGGAAGTCTAGGCAGGAGAAACCAACCCCTTCTCTGCTCCCCAAAGAGTCCAAAGGGAAGCCAGTGGTGGGGGGACCATGGGAGTCCCCACTGGGGAGGGGTCGCCTGCTCTGGCTTCCACTAACAAGGGGAGGGGTCCAGGAGAGCACAAGCCCCTACCTGGCTGCTGGAAGGCCAAGCCTCGGTAGCCTGGGTCCTTCTGGAGCTGGATCTCCTTCAGGGAGAAGATGGAGGCAGCTGGGGGAGAGAAGTGCATAGTCTGGAGAGGGCTGCGTGGAGCTGGCCTCCAGTAAGGACTGGCCCAGAAGGACCAACTGAGCCCTCGAGGCAGCGTCTCATTTCCACTGTTTGCCCCCTCAATTTGGAATGAGAACCCCAGCAGGGGAGGCAAGGTGCCCGGGGCTGCTCTGCTGGGGCTGGGGCCTCTGGCCTCTTTGTTCTGGTTCTTCTGCCCACACTCACCAACCCCTTTCCTTGGTTCTGGGTGGCCCTGCTCCCGGACCCCCAGTACTCACTGTCTTCAAGCTGGTGCACACGCTCTCCCAGAGACCGGAAGTAGGAGTGACTCAGGGCAGCCTCTGCTGACATGCGACTCTTGGATTCATACTGAAAGGCACAGGGTGGGGCTATTGGGCCCGGCTGGGGGGCTGCAAACCCTCTGGGCAGCAGGACTCCAGTGCTGGTTAGAGCACCAAGGTGGGTGAGGCTTGAGGCTAACAGGAGAAGCCCCAGGTCAGCCTCCAGCCCCTACCACAAACCCAACCTCAGGCCATCTCAAGACTCAGGGGAAGGCTCCTCGGTCTCCAGCCACCAGGAAAAACCAGAAATGAAACTTCAGGAGAGTGACCTTCTCTTGGGATAGAAATACAGATGCAAACCAACCATGATCAGATGGAGAACATCCGTAACAGGAAGCGTAGTGCCGATAACAACCCTTCATCGTGTGCCTTACAAGACAGGCACCACACTAAGTGTGTCCCGTCATCTCAATGTATCCTCACGGCCATCTTATAAAATAGGTATTAATCCCACTTTGCAGCTGAGGAAACTGAGGCATGGAGGAGCTCTGTAACTTGCCCAGAGCTACACAGCTAAGTAACGGGTTTGGGCTCGCAGTGCACAGACTCCAGAGGATGTGTATGGAGGCCACCCCTTGGCCTTGGGGGTGGAGAGTACAGGGGAGATGTTTCAAAGACGTGTAAGCACACGAGCCACAGAAGTTGGGGCGTAGGCCCGGCATGGGGCACAGGGACCTGGCTCTTTGGCTGCCTCTCCCTGGGCCCCGCCGGGAGGACACTCACCAGGAGCAGGCTGCTCAGGAGGTGGATGCCATCCGTATCCAACCTGCAAGGAGAAGGCGCGGACACAGGCTGTGCCTGATTGGGGATGGGAGAGCCAGGGCCGCAGCAGGAGGGGCGGCGGGCGCAGGGGCTACCTGGGCGCGTGGTTGATGAGCGGCTGCGGGAGGTAGCAGGGGAAGCTGTAGGTGCGGAACTCAGAGAAGGCGGTCACGCCGGGCCACGTCTCTTCTGTGGGGGTCCCTGGGGAGACGAGAGAGGGTGGGGAGGGCCTGCGTGAGGCCCAGGGCCAAGGCCGACTTGAAAGGGATGCAATGTATGAGGTGGGAGCAAAGATGGCCGAGGCCACAGGGGGTCCCCGCCCGGGAGAGAGGCGGCCGAGCCGCTCCTCCCCGTCCCGCTCCGCGCCTGGGCTGGAGGAGTTCCGGCGCCCCCTGGTGGTGAGAGGGACGGAGCAGCGGGAGACTGACCGAGGAGGCGAAAGATGAGGTGCAGCTCCTCCTTGACTGTGGAGCCCGGGAAGAGGGGCCTCCCTGTGGCCATCTCGTAGTGGATGCAGCCCACGCCCCTGCGAGGAGCAAGGGGTAGGGTCGGCATCAGGCAGGGGCGGCCGCCCTTCCTAGGGCTGCTCCACCAGGGCACCAATGACGACCTGCCACAGGCGGCTGCAGGGATCGTGGCTCTGGCGGCGGAGGGGTGGCCCAGGGCAGTGGAGGCTCCTAGAACTGCCCAGCCCCCACTACAGCCCCTCTCTGGGGGGCTTCCCTGGGCTCGGGAAAGCTGCGACTTTCACTCTGTGAGGAAAGTCCCCTTTCACTCTGTGAGGTTTGGGTCTGTGCAGCCAGCGCCCATGTGGCAATTCTCTCAGCAGTGTTGTCTCAAACTCTCTCCACTGTGTGCCCCACTGGAAGAGAAGTACATAAATCCATTCTCCTGGGGAACCTTGGGGCGGAGTCACAGCAGCCATTCATAACCACCGGCGGCTTGGCTTGCAATTTGGGCTGATTTTTCATTTTACACCAAATCATACACTTGTTCATTTTAACATAAAAATAGTACTTCTCTTTCAAAATTTTCACTGGGACTGATGCTTGGGGAAGATTCATCGTATTTACTATAGGGGCCCTCCTGGACCCTCTGGGTCTCTGGTAACCCCCCACAGGCCTCTGGGGGAGGATTTCAAATGCACAGGCTTGGGGGTCTATTTAAGCCAGGGAAACCCTAACCTATTATATTTCAGACCTAATTTTTTAACATCCATTTCAGCAGGATGTCACAAGGCTTTTAGGCAAAGGAAGTTAGGCAGTTCTTCCCCGAGGCCCTTGGGGAAGCAAAGGAGAGTCTGGAGGTGTGGCCAGGCCTGTCCTCCCCTCCTCGGTCCCCACAGTGCTCACTCACCACATATCAATGGGGGTGGAGTACTCTGTGGATCCCAGCAGCACATCGGGGGGCCTGTACCACAGGGTCACCACCTCATTGGAGTAAGTCTTTGTGGGCACTGACTTGGCCCTGGCCAGTCCTGGGGGCAGACATGTCACTGGACCTCTGTCCACAGGTGCTGTGGGGTTGACTGCTATGCCCTCCCCCACTGCACCCACACCCTGAGGCACCCCAGTAGCGTCAGACCCCCACCCTAGCCCCAGCCTCACCAAAGTCGGCCAGCTTCAGCTCCCCCCTCTCGTTGATGAGCAGGTTCTGGGGCTTCAGGTCCCGGTGCAGGATCTTGCGGTGGTGACAGTAGGCGAGGCCCCGGAGCAGCTGGAACATGAAAATCTGGGGGAGGGGGAAGAGAAATGTGGGGTGGAAGGTGGCCCTGAGCCTCTGCTCCAAGGCTGGGACCAGGATGGGGGCAGGGGCTTGGCAGTGAGGTCAGCACAAGCCCCTCATTCTCCTGCACACCCTGCAGCCCCCATCCTGGACCCCACCCACACCAGGGAATCCCATCCAGAGGGGAGGACAGCAGGGGTGCAGAGGACGCAGTGAGTGTGGGGGAGGCCAGCGAAGTCTCAGTCAGGAGCACGGGGGTCAGGATGCCCGCCTATGTGGAGACATATGTGCTTGATCCCTTTTTTTTTTTTTTTTCTTTTAGAGTCAGGGTTTTACTCTGTCACCCAGGCTGGAGTGCAGTGGTGTGATCATGGCTCACTGCAGCCTCAACCTCCCGGGCTCAAGTGGCCCTCCTGCCTCAGCCTCTCAAGCAGCTGGGACTATGGGTGCACGCTACTGTGCCCGGCTAATTTTTCAATTTTTAGTAGAGATGAGGTCTTGCCATGTTGCCCAGGCTGGTCTCAAACTCCTGGGCTCAAGCCATCTTCCTGCCTTGGCCTCCCAGTGCTGGGATTACAGGCGTGGGCCACCATGCCCAGCCTTGATTCTTTAACAAACACCAGGAGAGGTCATTCATAACCCCGAGCTTCCCCAGAAGCCTCCCTGCATTTTGGCAGGTAGCTCACACTCCCATTTGACAGACTGGGAAACTGATGTTCAGAGTTGAGAGTGGGTTTTATACCAACAGCTAGACAGTGGCAGACAGTGTGTGTCTGTTCTTGGGGTAAAGCGCTCAACCCAGTTCCTGGACTCGTTGATGGCATTGCCCTCTCCCTCTTTCCTACGTGGGAAGGTCTGAGCCACCTCAGCAGCCGGATCCCTGGTGGTGAGAGTGGGTCCCCACACTGGGCTTCTGGACAGGTGGCTGCCAAGATGGGGGGACCCTGCCCCCGAGGCCTCACCTTGACGTTGTGCATGCTCATGAGGTTCCCACAGTGGTCCAGATACTGCTTCAGGTCACTGTCCTGGAACACAGAGCGTGGCTCAGTCCTGCCCCACGCTGACCCCTGGCCAGAAGCCCAGACACAGGCTGAGGAGAGGAAGCCCCTCCCTGGGAAGGGCCCACGCCCACTAGTGGGACAGGTCCCTGGCTCGAGCCACCCGTAAGCCTGAGCTCTTGGCCCACTCCTGCACGGGAGCATCTGAAAATCTGATTCCAGAACAAGGCCTGGGTCGCCCTCATCCCACTACTCCCACTCCCTCAGCTTCCCACTCCCCTACCCACACCCCGTTTCCACCACAAGAGGGAGAGGCGGCCAGCCCCAGCCGGACTCTCACCAGGTACTCAAACACCAGGGTGAGGGACCGATCTGTGTGGATGAGGTCATGCAGGGTCACAATATTGGCGTGCTTCAGGTTCTTCAGCAGAGACACTGTGAGGAGACAGATCCACCTGGGTCCCTAGGACCCCATGTGTCCCCATACCCTCTTTTCTTGGGGTCAGCGCCAGGAGTCCCATTCCAGCAATGATCCTCTACCCCCAGCTCCCACAAGGGTGCAGGCTGGTGAACCCCTCCTCCTGAAGCCCCCAGGGGAGCGTGGGAGCCTAGGATGCTGTACCCTCTCGGATGGCAGTGCAGGGCGCTCCCTCCTCGTGCTCCAGCCGGATCTCTTTCAGGGCCACAAGGTTCTCCGTCAGTTTGCTGCGCCCTTTGAAGACTGTGGCATAGGTGCCCTGGGATGGAGGGCCACAGCGGCCCCAGGCGCATTCAGGTGCTGCTGGCCTCTGTCCAGTGCCTCCCCATTTGTGCCTCTGCCTGGGCTACGACTGGGGCCTGAGTGCCCTTCCTCCCTTTACTGACATGCTGTTTCCTCCAAAGCCTACTTCCTCCAGGAAGCATCCCTAATGACTCCCCAGTCGGAGTGAATCCGTCCTTCCTCTAAGCCCCAGCACGCCGCGTGCCCGTCTATGATAACACCAGGTTTTTTCTTCCTTATACGATGCTGATGTTTACACAGAGGTCACCTCTTTGGGCTCCTGGAGGGAAAGGGCTGTGTGTTCCCTCTCTCTATAAACCTTCACCCACCCCAGGCCTCTGCACAGTGACAACAAAAATAGCTAAGTGACACAGCACTTCCTATGTGCCAGGCATTGTCTGTGTGCCGTACATAAGCTGATTACAGTAACCTGCCCAATCCTCACAATAACCCTATGTGATAGGACAATTACTGTCTCATTGGACAGAGGAAGAAACTGAGGCACACAGAGAGGTCATGTAACTTGCCAAAGGTCACAGAGCTAGTAAATGGTGGAGCTAGGTTTTGAACCCAGGCAAGAAGGACTTGCAGAAAAAAAAAAGACTGGATTCTGCCCAGGGCCATGGCTACTCTATCCTCACGCCCTCCTTCAGGATCTGAGCTCACTTCAATCCCTGCCAAAGCCTGGGCCAGAGCGCACAGCCAAGACTGTGCACCTCTATGGGGCAGGGGCCAGGAGAGGGCCAACCAGAGAGGGCCGACCAGAGAGGGCCGACTAGGGAGGTCTGCCCCTCCTCCAAGCCATCCTGCCTGGCTATTCGGAGAAGACCAAACCCAGCGTCTTACCTCTCCCAGTTTGTCCAGTTTCACGTATGTTTCCAGTTTCCCAAAGCCAATGTCTGACTGAGAGGGAGAGACATAGAATGCCGTGAGCTTGAAGCCCTTAGCAGCTCCACAGACATGACGCCTCCCCCAACTCCAGCCTCTGGGAGGGAAGGGATGAGACTCCATGGTGGAAGGGGCTCCTTTTCCCTTTATCCCTGTGATAAAGGACAGAGCTCGTGAAAGTGTGAGTTTCTTCCTCCCAGGACAGCCAAGAGTGTAGAGCCCAGAGCTGTGGCACCTGGGATTGTTGCACATCTTGACTACCTGTGTCTCCGACTGAGACCACGAGCTCCTCCAGAGTGAGTGCTGCCTTTTTTCCCATTGTACCTTGAGTGTCCAGTTCAGAATCCACCTCTCTGACTGTGTCTCTCATCAGCGCACTTCTAGCTCAGGTGTATCCAACCCTTAACAAGACGGATTCCTGGACCCCCTAGCCGGAGAGGCTGATTCTATAGGTGTCTGGAGGTAGAGTCTGTGTTTTGTAAGATGTCCCAAACAGCTCTGATAGGCAGTTAGGACTGGAAGGCACATGCCAGCTGGCCTATTGATCTTAACCATGTGGAGACCGTGGGACCCACTGTGGGCTTAGAGTCCCATTCCAGCCCAAGTGAGACCCATCTAGGAAATGGATGTTGATGTAGGAGGACGAGCTAGTTGAATGCACTCAAGCCAGCAGGTGGCACCAGAGGCCCAGGAATCTTCCTCGAAATCCCATCTAGGCCTCAGCTGGGACTGATATGCCCATGCTGGGGAGGGCATATCACCCCACCTTGTGTCCTCTGACCCTCTTGGGACTCACCAGGGAGGCCCGGCGGGACATGCGGCTGAGCGGCTTGGGCAGATCTGGGCTCTCCATCTGTAGCTTCTGTAGGAATTCCTGGGGCAGGCGGATATCCATGGGCAGAGAGAGCCTCTTGCTGACGTCCTGTGGTGACAGGGATGAGATGGGGACACCACTGTTGGTTTCAGGGTAGCTAGGGCTGTGGGGCTCCAGACTTTCACTCTGGACCTAGCGTTCCCTGCAGAACAACCATTCAGAGCCCAATCACAGGCTGTGACCCCAGGCTCACAGCTGCTCCCAGTGTGTGCTCAAGACATACACGTGAACACCCGGGGCTGCTGTGTGACCTTAGCACAGCCAGGTCACTCTCTGCCTCTCTGGGCCACAGTATCACCATCTGTGCAACATCAGTCTCATGCCCTTACAGGCACCGATTCTGTAAGTATATTTTTTCATATACTTGGGCATATGTGTGTGGATCAAATAGTCAAATTGTCTAGCCCTTGCTAAATTCAGGAATGTTCTAAGCACTTGGCATAGATAAACCCATTTAATCCATGATGACCATTTTAAAGACAAGGAGACCATGGTGCACAGAGGTTGAGTAACTTGCTCAAAGTCACAGAGCTAATGAATGGCAGAGGTGGAATTTGAACTCACAAAGTCTGGCTGTAAGGCAGCTGCCCTCCTGTGCACACCCTTGTGCGTGCATCCTGCCACCTGCCGGGGCAGAGCTCCAGAGGCCCTTACCTCCATGGAGAAGCGGCGCTGGTTCTGCCGCCGCTGGAACTGCACGCCAGGGGAGAGCTGCCCCGGCTCCTCCCCGCTGTCTGTTGGGGAGAAGGTGCTGCACTCCTGCGGGGGGTCTCTGCCAAGAGGACCGAGCTGCAAGTCTAAGAGGGACAGGCGTCAGCTCCCCTCCCTGCCTCTCTGTCCTGAGGGAGAGAAGGGTAGCCCCCCTCCCCCAGCGCTGTGCTCCTCCCCTAAGGCCAGTGGGGAGGGGGTGGGCGGGGAGGGGAAGGTGACTGGGGAGTGTCTGGTAGGTGGGAGAGGTGCTGGGTGGGCCCAGACCCCTCACTCTCATTCCGCCGGTTGTGGAGCTGGTTGAATTGCTCCGTGAATTCAGCCAAGGATTCTTCAATGGTCTCAGTGCGGGGCACTGACAGGGAGAAACGGCGCTTAAAGTTCTTCATCTTGTTCATGATCATGAGGGACTGGGCAGCCGGGTCCTGAGATGGGAAGTGTGAGAAGAGCAGTTGAAAAGAACAAGGCAACCAGTCCAGGTCTCCACCCACTGGGAATTCAGCTCTCTCATCAAGCTCTGTCGCCCTGTATGCCACCATCACTGGGAGCCAGGGTTGTGTCTTCTGCAAAGTTTGACCCCTCTGAGGGTGGGTGTTCACCCTCTTCTTCCCAGTCACCTTCTTCCTCCCAGTGACCCTCAGCACTGCCTCCACTGCCCACCGCCCGCCCCGCCACGCCCTGTGCAGTTCTCTATGGACCACCTAGTCCAGCAAAGTATTGGTCATAATAGCAGGCATGATGTGCAAAGAGGATCCTGAAGGCCCCCCAGACCTAAGCCCTTTAGCTGCTGGAGGTCTAGAGAGTTCTGGGGGAAGGGCTGGGGTGGCAGGGAGGGTGCCAGAACCAGGCAGTCCTTGGACCAGCAGAAATTTACCAACTTGTGTCCAAGGGCCTGAATGTGTCAACAGCCAATAAATCTTACTGACCAAGGCCCGTAAACTGAATGTCAGCTTGGCCAACACCCTTGGGACATGATTGGGTCCAAACCTCATTTCACCTCTGATACTGACACCTGAAGGTCTCTGCTCTGGCATGCCCCAGGAGGCAAGAGGGGAAAAAGAGGAGGAAGGGAAGAGTGCATCAGAGCTGGCCAGCTGCACCTTCTCTCCAGCTGAAATACAGGAGGTCAGGAGCAGTGGAAGGTCTCAGGGGAAACACGGAAGCTTGCCATTAATAGAGTCGAGCCCTAGGGAAGATGAGGCTTGATCCCTGCAGGCCTCTTCCCATGCCAGAGCCCTCCAAGCAGGCAGGTATCCCCTACCGAGAACACCATGGAGGAGCGGGGTAAGCTGCTCTGCCCACCCCCACGGTCCTGTCCCCAACCATGAAAGCTTTCTTCTTCAGGCTACCCAGCTCCTCGTGCCCTCTGAATTAGAGGATGCCCTGCTGGCCACCCAATGAGACCCATGCAACTGCTTCTTCCTGCAGACCCTCCCTTCTCCCTCCTGCCCTGAAAACCCAGAGCAGCGCTGTCTCACCTCCCCTCCACTTCCCTTCATGGTTTCCTACACGCTCAGTGCAGCCCCCCTCTCATCCTGCTCTGCACACACTGCCCTTGAGGCCTCACAAGGGCTTCCACCCATGCTGGCAAGAAGGCACCAGGGGGTGAGCCCTATGATGGGCCGCCCTGCACCCGCTCCCAGCTGTTACCCATGCACCAGCACCAGGCACAGCCCACTCCTGGAGGATGCTCTCAGCCCTGCGACTGGCCAGCACCTAGTTGCCAAGGCGACCAGGCCCTTCCCGAATCCTCCTGGTTTAAGGGATTATGGGTCAGTAACATGTTGGCTTTGCTTAATGATCACATCCTTCTGTCCTCAGCCAGCCTGGAAAGGGTCCTCTGTCTGGCAGCGCATGCTCCTGGCTGCCCCCAAACACAGCTCAGTGGTGGCCCTCCAGCTGCCCTGATCCTCATGGCTGGGTATGAACAAGCTCTCCTTCATTCCTTTAGCGGGCTGGCACCTTTCAGAGTGGAGGCCTCGGGTCTGCAGTGCTAGGCAGGCCCATCTCTGTCAGTGGGCCCTGAAGTCTCACTCAGTTCCACTGAACAAATGAACTGGCCGGGCATGGTGGCTCATGCCTGTAATCCCAGCACTTTGGGAGGCTGAGGCAGGTGCATTACTTGAGGTCAGGAGTTTGAGACCAGCCTGGCCAACATGGCGAAACCCTGTCTCTACTAAAAATACAAAAAAATTAGCTGGGCATGGTGGTGTGCACCTGTGATCCCAGTTACTTGGGAGGCTGAAGCAGGAGGATTGCTTGAACCCTGGAGGCGGAGGTTGCAGTGAGTGGAGATTGCGCCATTGCACTCCTGCCTGGGCGACAGAGCAAGACTCTGTCTTAAAAAACAAACAAACCAAAAAACTGAGCACCTACTATGCGCCAGCATTGTGCCAGGCATGAGGGTTTCAGAGGCAAGTAAAGGGTGGTCCCCATTCTCAAGAAACTCAGGGGCTGGTGATGCCTCCTTTGATGAGAAGGTAGCTGAAAGCGCTTCCTCTGGCTTCCTTGGCAGAGCCCACCAGCCTTGGACTTTCCTGACTCCCCATCCCTAAACTCCTTCCTGTCAGTCATCTTCAGCCGCTCCTCCGTGGCTCTGTGCAATGTCTCAGGCCTGCTGTCTGCAGGACTCTTGCAGACAGGAAGCTTCCAGAGGGCAGCCACCATGCCTCACACTTGTGTATAGCATTCAGGCCACAGAGATCTAATCTGGAGGCTTCATGATGGTGGCAGGGGGTGTGGGTCCCAGTGACAAGAGGACCCAGACACACCTACCTGGTGACTCCCATTTCCGAGCAAGATAGGAGAGTGGAGATGGCTCCTTGTAAAGATCAATTATTTTCTTTTTTCCTTTTTTCTTTTTTTTTTTTTTGAGATAGAGTCGTGCTCTATCACCCAAGCTGGAGTGCAGTGGCGTGATCTTGGCTCACTGCAACCTCCACCTTCCGGGCTCAAGCGATTCTCATGCCTCAGCCTCCTGAGTAGCTGGGATTACAGGCCCGCGCCACCACACCCGGCTAATTTTTGTGTTTTCAGTAGAGACAGGATTTCGCCATGTTGGCCAGGCTGGTCTCGAACTCCTGACCTCAAGTGATCTGCCCCTCCTCGGCCTCCCAAAGTGCTGGGATTACAGGCATGAGCCACAGCACTCAGCCAATTATTTTCAAAGATAGCTGAACATCAGAATCACCAGGGAGCATTGTAAAAAAATTCAGATTCCTAGGTCTCACCCTGAGATTCTGGAACTGAGGTTCTGAGAATGGTGCCTGGGAAAATGCATTTGAAAAAACATCTCCAATGATGTACACCTGGAGCGGTGACCAGGAAAACATCTAAGGTCCAGGTCAGGGACAATTATCTGCCCAGGCTTCCAGGCCACCCTCCTGTGCTGAGACGGGGGATCCTCAGAGCAGGGAAGGGAAGCAGGAGGCCCCCCACAGGAGAGGAAGTCTCTCTGTCCTGGAAGCCAGTGCATCTCCACCACACCAACTGATGTCCCCAATGTCCCCGTGCTTTGTCATGGTTGTTCTCTGGGGGTGGGGAGAGGCAGGCACTTGGCTCCCTGAGGTCTGAGCTCTGCCAGGAGGGAGACCAGCCACACCCCTTTCTAAAAACAGGGCTTCCCCATAAAACCGTCCTGCAGTCTGGGATTTATGGGATGGCATGTTGGATTTGCGGCTCAGGAATCTACAAGTAGCAACCATAAATCTCACACCCTTGCTCTTGCTTGTAGGGTGAGGGGAGGGGAGCTCATTAAAAGCCTCCGGGAAGGAGGCCCCCCATTTCTGCAAGACAAAAGAGATTCAGCCCTGAGTCACACCTGCTCTCCCTAAGGTTCAGTGAGGAGCAAGGAGCCACCAGCCTGTGCCTGGGGTGGGGAGGACAGTGGGGCTGGGAGCTGGAGGAAGGGTGAGGCCAGAGGCAGCTGACTGGAGCAGGAATGTGGGGCCAAGCAGTGCAGGCGATGGGGACCAGCTGTTCTCCACCCGCAGGACAGGAGCCTGAGAGGAAGTGGCTGTCACAGCAGCAGAAGGGATGGGGGTCAGATGTAGGATGGATTTCCTGATGGAAGGATGGAGGTCAGATGTAGGATGGACTTCCTGATGGAAGGATGGAGGTCAGATGTAGGGTGGACTTCCTGATGGTGACAGGGGAGCAGGCGGTGGGGGTGGTGACCACAGCAGAGTGGATGTCTCTCTCTGCTGGGGACAACCAGGGCATTGAACCCAGCAGGGTCTTGGGTGTGACAGGGCAGACTGGGCAGTGAATAGTCTGTTGTTCCCTAGGTCAAGACACAAGATGCCTCTGTCATTTTTCCCTTGGGAGAGTCAGCTCCTCAGATTTGGGGGTCGAGGGGGAAGGGAGACAGGAAAAAGGCCTGTCACCTTAGTGCTATCTACCCCTCACCCCCAAGTGGGGACAGAAGGGCTCAGTATGACCAGCCTGAGGCCAGCCCGGGGCCAGGCACAGCACAGCCTTTGTCCCCAGACCAAGGAGCCATCTGGGGCTGTCCCCGTGCAATTGGTGCCAGGGGAAGAGGGCGATGAGTGTCCAGGGATACTGGCCCGGCAGTGGGGGGTGGAGGAAGTTGAAGGAGCAGAGTCCCACTGAGGAGCTGCAGGGTGGGCAGGCAGACCCCAGCCAACCTCCCCTCCCACCTCCCTGCCCAGGTAAGTCATAAAGCTCAGCCAGCTCCAGTTGCTTCTTCCCAGGGACACAGCAGCCGGCCCAGAACCTCCTGCTGGTGCCAGAGCCATGGGTGGCACAGAAGGAGGAAGGAGGAGCCAGGCTGGGAAGAAAGCCAGCACTTGCCAGAGGCCACTGTGCCCCCAGTGAGCAGGGCTGGCCTCCCAGAATGTTAGCAGGGGAAGACGCTCACACAGCCTCCATCCCCATCCCTTGCCCAGTGAAGATGCTGAACATCCAAGAGGGGAAATGGCTTGCCCAGAATCACGCAGCAATTTCCTGGTTGTTGCCAAGTGCACAAACGTGACCATATTGCTCCTTTCTTCTCCTACCTGGAGCCCTCCCCGCCCTTGCCCCTTCCCTGTGGCCCAGGCTTGACTGTTTTCTCCTACTCTGAACTGCGTGCCAAACAAACTCAGTTTCAAACTTTGGTGCTACCACTAGCAGGCTATGGAATCGCAATGACGTGATAAAACCCCTCTCACCCCTGGCTCCATTCATTCATTCAACAATTATTGAACACCTGCTGCATGCCAGGCACTGTTGTAGACCCTGAGAATCCACAGATGAATGAAACAGACATTAATTCCTTTCCTAATACTTTCTAACAGGGGTAGGGGGGTGCGGACAATAGACAGAATGAATACACAGTATGATGGATGGTGACAAGTGCAATGATGGGAATTCATGCAGGGAAGAGGGAAGGTGTGGGAAGTGCAGTTGCAAGTTTAAGTAGGGTGGTCAAGAAGGCCTCCCCAAGAAGCAGGTGACATCTCAGGAGAAATCCAGAGTAGGTGTAAGGTGAGGGGGTCAGTCATGCAGGGTCTGGGAGAAGCAGGTCAACAAGGGAACAGCAGGGGCAAAGGTCCTGAGGCAGAAGTAAGTCTGGTTCACTGCAGGACAATGATGTGGCTGGAGAAGATGCTGGATGGGAGTGCGGAGCAGCTGTGTTGGGCCTCGAGGGGTAAGGAGGGTTTGAACGGATGAGTGACATGATCACACTGAGGCTTTAACACGCTGCTGTGTTGAGAACAGACAAGGGGAGCAAGGGGAGAGCAGGGAGCCCGGGCAGGAGGCTGCTGCTGAGGCCCAGGGGAGAGAGCTTGATGGTGGCTGGGACCAGCGGGGGGCAGTGGAGATGGTGAGAAGTGGCTGGATTTGGGCTATATTTTGAAGGTGGAGGCAAAGAGCTCTGCAGATGGATTGTATGTTGTGGGTGAGAAAAGAGTCAAGCATGACTCTGCAGCAGGGTTTTCGCCAAGCAGCCGGAGTGGAGAGATAGAACAGTCACTGGAGGAGACAAGGCATTCTGGGAGTAGTGGTTTCAGTGGGAAGACCAGGAGTTGGATGTTGGGCAGGTGACATTTTCAACGTACAGTGGTATCTGAGCAAACATGCTGGGTGAGCCAACACAACACACCACTGGCACAGGGAAGATGTCCAGCAAAGCTTGGCTCTCCTCTCTCAAGCTACTGCCCAGACAAAAAGAGTCCTCATATAAACTTCATCAAACATCCCTGCAGACTTCCTTATTGCAAGGTGCTTTTGGATCCCAGGATGGAAGAGGGCCAGGAGACAGGGAGCAGGATCATCTCTTGGCAGATGTGAGGGGGAGAAGGGCCAGGGAGGCAGGGTCCCCCCTACTTAGACAACTGCAGGGCCACGCAGGGTGGGGCCCGTGCAAGGCAGGGAACCCCGGCTACTGGCAGACAAGCCCCATCTTCTCTCTTAGGAGGAAAGAAAGCTCCACAGAGCAGGCCAGGCCAGCCCCAGGGCCCCAGTGTCCAGACAGGGCAGATTCCCAGCCCACTGACTGCTGGGACAACCTGTGCCAGGCCACAGACCTAATACCTGCCTTGGGGCTGGACCCCTGAGAGACCTTGACCTGGAGACCATGGAGGTGGAGAAGGAGGTTGACAGAGCATCCCAGGAATCTGGGATGCTGTAGACTGGAGGGCGGGAAAGTCAGCTTCACTTCTCAAGCTCCTGGGGCCAGGACTGGAGTCTTCTCTCAGCAAACCCCTTCAAGAAGCCTCTTTGCCTTCCTCTTGAACAAAGCCCCGATTCCCCAGCCTGCACCCAAAGGCCCTTCAAGATCTGGGGCCCCTTCGTCTCTGGCTTTGCCCCTCTTCATTGCCCCTGCATGCTGTACAAGTCTCTGGGGCCTTCAGGAGCTTCCTGGAACTCACTCCACCCCACCCCCAGGACCACCAGGTGCCCCTCCTTCAATGGGGCGTGACTTTTCACCTGTCTCCCTCATCTGGAGCACGTTGGTCTCTATGCCTGGTGCTGGTGGCATACAGCAGGCATGTGTCTGCTTTACAGGCACATGTGGAGCACCTGCTGTGTTCCAGGCACATGTTAGATGCATCCCCAAGTCCCTCTTTTTGTTTTGTTTGCTTTTCTTTTCAATCTTGGTCTCTGTGGGCCCAGGGGCAGGGGTTGGGGGACGTAACTTGTGGCTGCCCACTTTCTGAAGCCCAGAGGGTCTTCCCTTCAGTCACGAAGGCTGACCACCAGCCAGGATCCCTATGACACCCTATCTCCCAGTCCCTGCCCCTGCCTCGGTCACTCAGCCACTTTGGCCCTTGGGTGAATTTCAAAGAACTAGAGGCCATGGCTGACCAAGTTTGCAGACGTCATGAGCTAGGACCTCAGAGACACTCCCTCCTCCCAGGGAGAACTGTGCCTGCTGGGAGCCTGCAGATACCATCTCTTCCTTCATCCTCCAGCTGACCCTGTTCTGCACAGCTGGAGGCCTTAGTTTCCAGGAGCCTGGGACAAACCTCAGGGGAAGCCAGTCACCCCTTAGCTGCCTGGAGCTGTGGCGGCGTCAGCAGCAGAAGCCTTGGGGCCTCCTCACAACCTTGCCCTGCCCCAGCCTGGATGAGAGAGGCTGCAGGCCTGAAACCTTCAGAGTGGCCAGAAATGAGGATAGCCAGGCCTGCAGTCACCCTGCCAACAAACAGATGCTCTGGACAGTCCCAGAGCTCCAAGAGGATTCCCACAGCCTCTGTTTGGAATGCAGGAAGTAGGCGGGGAAGGCCTTCCGGGAGCAATTTGGGCAAACCTGTTGGATGTCTGCTCAGGAGGCAAAGTGGGGATCAGGGTCGCCCTTGCTCCAGACAAATACGCCATTGTCTCCTAGAGTCTCACTCCAATCAGAAATGTCCTGCAGTGAGGAACACACGGTGTCTAGCCTTGCTCTCCAAAATTCTCTGCAGTTTGGTGTCATGGAAGAAACCCCACTTAGTAGCTGTGACCTGAAAAAACACCCCATGCCTCAGTTTCCTTGCTGCTAATTGAGAATAATACTTGGCCTCCAATCCAACTGCCATCAGCGTCCTAGACTTAACTTTCTCAGCTGCTTTCTGATGATGTCGCTTGCCCATTTAAAATCTTTCAAAGTGGCTAGGCGCGGTGGCTCATGTCTGTAATCCCAGCACTGTGGGAGGTCAAGGTGGGTGGACCACCTGAGGTCGGGAGTTCAAGACCAGACTGGCCAATATGGTGAAACCCTGTCTCTACTAAAAATACAAAAATCAGCTGGGCATGGTGGCACACGCCTGTAATCTCAGCTACTTGGGAGGCTGAGGCAGGAGTATCGCTTGAACCCAGGAGGCAGAGTTTGCGGTGAGCCGAAATGGCGCCACTGCACTCCAGCCTGGGTGTTGCAGCGAGACTCCATCTCAAAAAAAAAAAAAAAAAAAAATCCTTCAAAGCTAACACTGCCTTCAGGAAAAAGTTCAAATTCCAGGGCCTGGCAGACCAGGCTTTTGGATCCCTGTCTTCTTGAGCCTCAGCTCTCACCCCTCCCCAGAAGGTCTGGTTTTATCAAATGTACCTGGCATTCCCAGAGCAAACTCCACTCACACCCCACAGCTTTGCAATCATTTGGCCTGGGATGCCCTTCCTCAATTTTTCCCTCGGTAAAACCACTCCCAAACTCAACTCATGGGTCACTTCCCCTGGGAGACTGTGCATGACCACACCTTCTTCCTCTAGGTAGAATGAGATGCTTCCTCCTTGTCCCTTCCAGAGCAGCCAGCACACACTCATAACTAGACTGTGAGATCCTTCAGGACAAGAATGGGGCCTTAACATTTTTGTTTCCCTGATGCCTTACACAGAGTAAGGAGCCCACCAGGTACTCAGCATTTGTGGAACGAATGAACAAGTGACTGAATGAGGCCATCGAGCCACTGCTTCATGATGACTTGTTTAAACCTCTTTCCTCTACAGATATGGAAACATTAGATCCCTCAAGGACAAAGACTGTATCTTAGTCACCTTTAAGATCCAGGACACACTGCCACGTGCAATAAATGTTGGTGCCTTTCCTTCCACTTTCAGGCAGGCCAGGGACCTGTTTCTAGGTGTATCTTCTCATTAGGCCATCTCCTGTCCTAGTTAGACTTGAGCATGATTGGGGTGGGCCTGGCCCTGTCCTCTTTCTGGGCACACTAGAGTAAGCCTAGACTGTCCAGTCACCCAGCCCCAGACTCCCCGGGGCATGCTTCCTCCTCAGTTTTCTTGGGTTTCAGAGGGAACAGGAATACAGGGATTGGTACCCAAGCAGATGGATGGGGGACTAGGGAGAAACCAACAACGTGCTACTCATCCTGCCATGGGGACCTCTGCATCTCCTCTAGCCCGAAACTCCACTGTCCCCAGCCAGGTGATGGTCCCTCTTCTGTGCTCCCACAGCTTTCTGACATCCCAAGGCAGGGCACTTGGCTCCCTGTCCTGTAACTGTTTACTTGTCATTTCCCTAGTTTGCCTGTGGGCTTTTTAAGGGCAAGCACTGTGGCGTGACTCGTCATTGCACCCCCAGAGCCTGACCCAAAGCCTGAGACAAAGTGAGCCCTCAAATGACCAGCAAATGAAATATGAAAGCTGGACTCGAGGCCTCAGCTGAAACCTGACCCTCTTCCTCTAGCCAGCATGTGGCCCAACAGCAGCGGGAGATGGGCTGAGGCAGTGGGGGCAGTGTCCTGCCCAGCAATTACTCCCCCAGTGAGGTCTGTGGAGGTTTTTGGGCTGGAGGCACCATCCTACAGTGAGGGGTGGACTGGAATGAGAAGAACCCGAATGAGAAGTTCCTCCTGCAACATGCATTGAGCTAGGGCCTCCAGGGCTGTGGGGAAGGGGTTCGGAGGGGCTTGTGGCCCTCTTCCTGGCTCTATCACTCAGGGAAGATTCTCAGAGCCTTGTAGGGCAGGTGCACTACTCAGGCTCAGATGTTGGCCTTGACCCCTACAGATGACCCTTTCTGACCCCACACGACCTCCTATCTAGCCCCTCTGTGTGGCTCCACTTCAGTCCTACTGATGTCCACCCTGCTGCTCTCTGGCTTCCTGAGGCTTAAGGAATAGAGGTGCATATTGCATCTTCTGGTATTTTCCTTTTGACCTTTTTTGGGGGCCCAGCTAAAGCTGGTCTGCACTCTCTGAGGAGGCTCAGGATGTCCAAGTGATAAGATGGGACAAGGAGCCCTTCTGTCAGTTCTGGTCCTGGGCGTACAGAACATCCCAGATCAGAGACCAGAGCAAGGGGCAAGGGCCAGGATAGGCCTGGCCTCCATCTCCCCCATCCTCCTGCCTCCAGAGAAAGCCCGCCTTACTCTCCCAGCCAGAGGAGCCCTCTCTGCTCCTTTTATCAGCCCTCTTTAAAGACACTCAAGGAAGGTCCTTCCCCAACTGTCCTGTGTTTTTGAGATCCCAAAGTCTGGAACCTTTCCTTAGGTCTTCCTTAAATACCAGAGGAAACAGCTTGTTTCCTCTCCACTTGCTCTGGCACAGAAACTGGTGCCTACCATCTTTTACACAATAAATTGGAGAAGAAAAGAAGAGTGTTGAGTTCACCCACCCAATAGCCCTCTCTCAGCCAGATATCCCGTGTCCAGCTCTCCTGCTGGCCTGTCATGGGACCTTCAGTCCTGTCTCTGGGTTTCTCTCCATGCCCAACTTTGGCAACAGAACTGCAGGGGCCTTTGAGCCTGGCATCCCTGGGGACCTCTCAGTCTCAGGAGGGGGAGGGAATGGGGAGGATTTCCCAGCATCTCTAAACCATATTCCTATTTATACTCCACCCCCACCAGCTGGCCCACGCCGCCCAGTGCCCACATTCTGACAAGAACCCCTGGCTGGTCGTCTCCAACTTTCCTCATTCCAATCTGAGAGACTAGCTTAAAAAAAGCAGCTTCATGTCACCGCCAAGAACTCCACTGGGCTCCTCTGACCAGCTCCCAGCTTCTGGTCACTTGGATTGCCCCGCCTCTCCCTCCTCACACTCCGCATGGCCTCCCTCCCACCAGGCTGGGCCCAGGAGGCCTCCTTGGCCTGCATGGCCTCCCCCAGGCCTCTGAACATCTCATAGTTGTTCAACTGTTCTCTAAATGTCTTTTATCAGTGTCACTCACTCACCAGGGTTCAGCCTCCTCAAAGTCACTCACTCATTTCACAAGCACCTGCTCAGCGCCAGGCACTGTCCTGGGCCCTGGGCCTCGGATTCCACTCCCTTTGGCTGCCTGGGTCTCCTCCTGCTTCTTCCTTCCTCCCGGGTCTGGTGGACTTACTTCCTCTACCTGTCCCTTGAATGTCAACACTCCCACAATTCTCTCTTTGGCCCTTTGCTCTTCCTCTCTGGGCATGCTTCCTGGGTGACCTCATCCCCTCCCGAAGTGGAAACCACCACCCGCGTGCTGATGACTCCAGATCTGTAGCCCTGGCCCCACCAAGCCCCTCAGCTCCAGATGCTTGGGTGCAGCTGCCTTCTGGGCACCCTGCCTGTGTGTCCCCCAAGGGTTCAGTTAGAGGTATGTGTGTGTGTGTTTTCTTTTGGAGACGGAGTCACCCAGGCTGGAGTGCAGTGGCGTGATCTTGGCTCAGTGCAACTTCTGTCTCCCGGGTTCAAGCAATTCTCCTGCCTCAGCCTCCCAAGTAGCTGGGACTACAAGCGCACGACACCACACCCAGCTAATTTTTTGTATTTTAGTAGAGATGGGGTTTCACCATGTTACCCAGGCTAGTCTCAAACTCCTGAACTCAGGTAATCCGCCCGCCTCGGCCTCCCAAAGTGCTAGGATTATAGGTGTGAGCCACCGCACCTGGCCAAGATGTGTTTTTAAGTGAAGAGGACAGATGTGTACAGTTTGTAAAAGCTGTACGTATGCAGGATATACACATGTGTCACAGGCATGCACATATAAACACAGCACACTGTTAGATAACCCAGAAGGTGGTAAGTCAAAACACCAGCAGTAGTTATTCCTGGGTGATAGAATTATGGGTGATTTTAATGTCTTCTTTTTGCTTATCTGCATCTTCTAATATTTCCATAATGAACATTTATTGCTTACATAAGAAGAAAATAGCAACACTTCTTTTTAAATGAAAAGAAAGTACTTTTAGATTGAGATCCTGGAGCAGTTTAGTGCAAGGCCTGGAGAGAACTATGATTATCTTGAGCAGGGGTCAGCAAACCTTTTCTGTAAGAGGCCAGACAGCCACTATTTTAGGCTTTGCGGGCCATCGTCTCTGTCGCCACTCTGCCACTCTGCCTTTGCAGCACAAAAGCACCCACAGGCAAGATGTAAATGAATGAGTTTGGCCTCACACCAGTAAAACTTTACTATGAACACTAACATTTGAATTTTATAAAATGTTTAAGGGTCACAAAACTTTATTTTCTTCTTTTGACTTTTTACCGACTGCTTAAAAATGTAAAAATCATTCTTAGCTCATGGGCCATACAAAAACTGTCGGGACTTGGCCAAGAGCCATGGTTTGCCAACCCCTAGCCTTGAGCATCCAGTGCCTGTGTAGTGTTTGAATCCAGCATCCATTTCTTTGCGAGGTAGTTGTTCTCCTCCTAATTGACAGGGCTGAGGCATTCCAGGATTTCCTTGCCCATCTCAGCATGGCAGGGACCAGGTACCCAGCCATCAGCTGGGGCAAGCCCCTGGCTCTACAGTTTGGAGGAACAGGAGGCTGAGCCCCTCTTGGGACCCCAGCACACAGCTCACCTTGTTAGCAGGACAGGCAAAAGTCGGAGCCTCAGACCAGCAGCCTCAGAGGGGCCTTTGGAAATCCCCTGGTCTGCACCCTCATGTTTCAGGCAAAGAAGGCAAGACTCAGAAAGGTGAGCGATCTGCCCGAGGCCACTGAGGGTGACAGGGCAGAGCTGGGACCACACTTTGGGCTTCTGACTTTGTGCAGGGTTGGAAGGGACTGCATGGGCCTGCGTAGAGATGGCACTCCCTTTATTGGTCACCACAGCCAAGAAAGTCACAGCATCCCCAAGGGCCACCTTCCTTGGGAAGGAGCCATGCCAGGTTTGGCACCCACACAGAACATGGCACCCAGCCCAGCCACGGCAGGGGATGCTGCCAGCTGGGCTCCACGGCAGGATCAGGGAGGGGCTCTGTGACCCCTTTCCTGGGCTCATCCCATGTTGCAGGCAGAGTTTGGGAGCCAGTGCTGCTTTGTCAAGAGTGATGCCCTCTAGCATAACACCTACCGCCCACCTGCTTCCAGGCAGTGGGTCCTGCCAGGATGTGGGAAGGACAGCCCTGTCACCTCCTGGGCTGGTCACCCCGCAGCCCAGGGTGCTGGGTGGCTGGGGCCAGAGAAGAGAAGAAGGTCTGGTTCCTGAGGAGACTCCCCAGGCAGAAAAGGGCAGGCTTCTTTAGGGAAGCAAGGTGTGAGGGCAGTAATCATTCTGGAGCTCTGAATTTCCCTCGATAATGATAAGATGGGGAACAGTGTTCAGAGTGAGGGAGGGTAGAAATTTTTTTTTTTTTTTTGAGACAAAGTCTTGCTCTGTCACCCAGTCTGGAGTGCAGTGGTACAATCCTGGCTCACTGCAACCTCTGCCTCCCTTGTTCAAGCGATTCTCGTGCCTCAGCCTCTGGAGTAGCTGGGATTACAGGTGCCTGCCACCATGCCTGGCTAATTTTTGTATTTTTAGTAGAGATGGGGTTTCGCCATGTTGGCCAGGCTGGTCTTGAACTCCTGACCTCAGGTGATCCACCTACCTCGGCCTCCCAAAGTTCTGGGATTACAGGTGTGAGCCTCTGTGCCTGGCCAGAAACATTTTAAGAATAGAGTTCTCTTCCCAATTTGGGGGCTGATCCCTGATGTTTGCAGGGACCCTGATTTCAGAAAAAAATATCAAGTGGGGCCAAAGGCACTGAGAACTACCAAATGTAGCCCATTAACTCTGCCACCACCCCTTGATAATGACATCAGGTAAAGCAAAGAGCTACTAGGTGGACATTATCTCACTGGAGTCCTCGCAATCACATGAGATAATAGTATTATCCTCCTATTTTATAAATGAGGAAACTGAAACCTGGGTGAGCAAATTACTTAACCTAAGGCAACCAGTTACTGAGTGGAAGAGGCAGAATCTGAACTGACCCCAAAGTCCATAAATTGCCTCCACCCATGGTGGACAGGAGACATACACTCAACATATAAATAATGATGAGTGCACCAGCCAGCCATTATTGGGTCATCTTGTCTATCCCGACTCCACCATTTCTAGGGAAGACTTTTATTTAATGGTGGGGGTAGGGAGGCTCAGAGGGTGGGACCATTATCAAGAGCTCCAGGAAAGAGGATCTCATCATAGTCCTTTCAAAAGTTCTGGCCCATGTCTCCCAGAGCAAGGTGTCCAGTCTCTTCAGGGTTACTCATGCTGTCAGGGAGCTTTGCTTCAAGACCCGTTTTTTGTTTTGTTTTGTTTTGTTTCTCGCCCAGGCTGGAGTGCAGTGGTGCGACCTCGGCTCACTGCAACCTCCACCTCCTGGGTTCAAGCGATCCTCCTACCTCAGCCTCCCGAGTAGCTGGGATTACAGGCACACGCCACCATGCCTAGCTAATTTTTGTATTTTTAGGAGAAACAGGGTTTCATCATGTTGGCCAGGCTGGTCTCAAACTCCTGGCCTCAAGTGATCCACCCGCCTTGGCCTTCCAAAGTGCTGGGATTACAGGCATGAGCCACCACACCCGGCCTAAGACCCTTTTCAATTTTTTTTTTGACAAGTTCTTGTTCTGTTGCCCAGGCTGGAGTGCAGTGATGCAATCATGGATCACTGCAGCCTCAACCTCCTAGGCTCAAGCGATCCTCCCCTCTCAGCCTCCCGAGTAGCTGGGACTACAGGCGCGTGCCACCACACCTGGCTAATTTTTGTATTTTTTTAGAGATGGGGTCTTGCCATGTTGCCCAGTCTGGTTTCGACCTCCTGGGCTCAAGCAATCCGCCCACCTCCCTTTTCAGTTTAAAACCAAACCTCACACTTGCCTCACTACCCCTCCTCCTCTGCAGATGTAGCTGTGGAGATTCTAGGAGCAGATGGGCTCTCTTTCAGACAGGAGGTCTGGCGGAGATGCGCCCACGGCTTTTCCTCTTCCAGACTTGCTGCTGAACCACTGGCCAGCTCCAGCCAGGCCCAGCTACCAGCTCTGTAGTGATCCTGGATCCCAGACCCTTGGCCTGAGCTGTTGTGAGCCCAGCCTGTGTGTGCATGTGCATGCAGCTGTGTGTGTGTAAGCAGCTGTGGGAGCCAGGACAAGATTAACCTTGGTCTGCTCCCACCCCCTGGATGTGGGAAAGTGCCCACTCAGCAGGGAATGCCTGGAGGGCAAAGGTGAAAAGTCCAGGGAAGGGGACGTAAGGGGTTATGGTGGGACACAGAGCCGAGGAAGAGAAATGTGACTTATTGCCAAAGGTGGGCTAATCAGGTGGGCCTGGAACCAGGCCAGCCACTCACCCTGAACAACAGAGCAGAACAGGGACTGCAATTAATTAAGTACCAGGGGAGGGTCCTCCTACCTCAGGGAAAGAAGGCGCTGCCAGAGGGCCCTCAGAGCAAGAGACTGCTGCCTCTCCAGCTCCCAGTGCCTGCCTCATTCATAACTGCCAGAAGGTAGGGCCCCCACAGCACAGATTCCTGGCCCCTCCTGGAAGATTTCCATCCAACCCATTCCCCTACCACCACCACCATTCTCTTACACAGAGCCCTCCTCCCTAACCTGGAAGAGCAGTAAAGATTCTGTCTAACTAAGGGCTTGGCCTGATGGGGCTGGGAAAATCTACCTTGGTCTCTAGACCAGCCCTGGTGCAATCACCAGGAAATTCCCTTTCCAAACAAGCACCACCAACCACTATAGCTACCAGTTATTTAGTCTCTGCTACATGCCAGGCACTGTGCATTATTTTTTTTTTTTTTTTTTTTTTTTTTTTTTGAGACGGAGTCTCGCTCTGTCGCCCAGGCTGGAGTACAGCGGTGCAATCTCGGCTCACTACAACCTCCGCCTCCCGGGTTCACGCCATTCTCCTGCCTCAGCCTCCCGAGTAGCTACAGGCACCTGCCACCACGCCTGACTAATTTTGTGCTTTTTTTTTTTTTTCAGTAGAGATGGGGTTTCACCATGTTAGCCAGGATGGTCTCGATCTCCTGACCTCGTGATCCGTCCACCTCGGCCTCCCAAAGTGCTGGGATTACAGGCGTGAGCCACCGCACCCAGCCTAAATCTTATAACAGCCCTCTATTATGATCCTCATTTTACAGATGAGGGAACGGATGCTGGGAGAAATTCACGAGTGTGCTAGTGAGGGGAAGGTCACATAGCTACTATATGCTGGAGCTGGATTCCACCAAGGCCAGAAGTTTGCCCTCCCCTTTAGTTCTCAAGCTCAGTTAGAGAAGAACAGAAGGAATCAGAGGACAGGTAGATGGAGATGCTGGACAAAAGTCCCAACAGGGTGATCCCAGAAAGTAGAGGCTTGGTTAGGGTAGGAACCGGGAAGAGTCAAGCCGGGCTCTGCCCTACAGTGTAGGACGCATTCCCGAGTGCGGGACGGCCCAAGTAGGCAGAGGACAGAGTCCGAGTCTGTAGAGGAAGCAAATGCACCCTGAAAGGCAGCTCCATGTCCTCTAGACCTGAGCGGGGGTTTGCAGGGCTGGCAACCTGATCCCACGAGATCTCAGACCAAGAACCTATTTGCTCCTCAGATCTGGTGCCCTCTCTCCTGTGCCCCATGGAGAAGCCTGGCTCTGCCTAGTGCAGGACAGACAGATGGGAGCCTCAATATTTGGAGCATCACCCCCATTCTTTCTTCTCCTGAGGACTGACGCAGACCAGAGAACTCCAGAGTGGGCCGGAACCTCCCCACAATGGGGCAGGGGTTAACAGCAGGGGCTTGGGGTCAGACGGAAGTGGGCTGGATCCCACCTCTGTGTGACCTTGGAAAAGTTGGTCTCTCAGAGACTCAGTTTCTTCACCTGTAAAATGGGGATGATAATAATACCTACTTCATAAAGTTGTGACGCACTGCTTGGCGCACAGTAGATATTCAACAAATGGTGGCCACTAAGGCTTGTCTACTCTGCCTCTGGCACCCCCGATAAGTTTGGGAAGAACTTCTTCTGGCACGCGTGGAGAGCTTCTTCCATTCTCCTGGCAGGGTATGGGGAGAGTCCTGGGGACCCAGTGGGGAGAGTCCTGGGAACCCAATGGTCAGGTACACCCCAGATTAAGGGTGGGGGAGGGGTCAGCCCCACAGCCTCCTCAGCTGCACAAGAGGTGGCTGGGAAAGGGTAACCCGAGATAGCAGCTTTGCTGTGGCAAGGTGACCCTCTCTCTGGAACGCCTTCAGGATGCAAACCCGGACCTGGAGCCAGTGTCGCCCTGTACTCCACCGACCCTCAGCACCCTCAGCACCGTTTTCCCAGGCCCCTCCCAAGGCCAGGCTAAAGGCAGGGGATCTCTGAGGACGTGCCAGTCCACCAGGCGCTCCAGGCATCCTCTCAGGCCCGTGTCCAGGAATGTGCTGCATGCCCATGCCCGGGTGGGGAATGCCACGCGAACATGCCGAAGCTCACTGGGTGCTGACACAGGAGGGGCAAGCCGGTGGTGTTAGTGAGTCACAGGGCCCAGGCTACAGCTGGGGAACTGCCGAGGGCTGGGCTAGGGGTGGGGAAGAAGGGGAGACAGTAGCAGATAGCGCGGAAGAGGTTCCAGGGCCTCTCACTCCCACAGTGTCAATCCTCCCACCCCGACTGCCGGGAGGTGCCCAGAGAGAATGAAGAGAGGCAGGGCTGGTGCCTAGGAGGGTGCTGACCCTGCAGCACAGAAAACCCCTCACTGTTTCTGCAGCCCAACTCCCACCCAGCACAAGGTCTGCAGACACCTTCAGGGAATCCCCGCCCCCCACAGGGCGAAAACAGAGGCCTCCAGTCCAGACCCGATTTTGGATTTCAGATTCCTGATGGTGTCCCTCAACTACAGCAGAATCCTCAAGGCACATCTCCTTAGCCCAACAGGTCACCGCCCACTCCCCCCGGCCCCACCCAGCCTCCTTTCCCTCTGCTGCATTAACCCTCTGTCGCCTGTTGATGAGGGGTGGAGGGGGGCACTGCCCCTTTGGTCTTCCGGGGTGGAAAGAGAGAAGCAGCAGCATTCCCCAGACCCCTGCCTCCCCCAGAACTGGGACCTGCAGGGCTTCACGTGTCCTTCCACGTTCTTCCCAGGGCTCCGGCCTCCCACCCCCTGCCTGCCGCTCTGGAAAGTTCACCAGAGCCCAGGAAGCCCTTCAAGGCAGCGATGTGGCCCCACACTCTCGGGTCCTTTGGTCCCTGGAGACTCCTGACCCTTGCCCTTCCCAGAATGAAGGGAGCTTAGAAAGCGCCTGGTTCCGGACTGGGTGGAAAACTTTGCTTTGTAGGGTTCAGACGGGAGCCCAGGGGCCAAAGTGATCCCAGATGGAGACTCCCTAAGGGGGCGCGGGGTCTGAGATTGCAAAATAACCCTCCCTCTCAAGCACCTGGAACTTACGAGTGGCCTTTCGAGGGCACCCCCCACCCCTCAACACACAACACAGTATCACACAGATCACGCCTCGTGATCTCTGCTCTCCCCTCGCCGCTCCGGTATTTCCCTCCAACCTCTCGCCTCAGGGCAAAAGCAAAACTGCGCCTTTAAGAGCCGTTCCGCTTACCTTTGCTCCTTATACCCGGCGCCGCGGTGCCCGCTCCTCCGACCTCCCCCTTCCTCCCAGGCGCACCGCCCGCGGGACTCACAGCGCGTGTCCTGGGGGCCGCGGTGCGCCCGCTCCCTCCCGGGCACGGGGCAGCTTCCCCTGCTCCGGAAAGGTGAGCAGTTCCCCAGAGAAGCTGCAACCTGAGCTGGCCGAGGAGGAGGTAGAAGGGGAGGGGAAGGGAGGGAGTGGAGGAAGGTGGGGAAGAGGAGGGAGGAGGAGGAGGAGGAGGAGGAGGAAGGAAAATGCCCGGCCCCCGCCAGAGTTTTTCACATGTACAAGTTGACTCCGCCCCCGGCCCTCCCGCCCTGCCCACAGCCGCTACCAATCCCCAGGGCTCCCTCTGCCCGGGTGCCCACCCCTTTCTCCCACTCTGGGAACCAGGGTCCAAGTGCCTCTTCCTGTTTCGTTTCTAAAACCGGCCCTGAGAGCCTTGGCTAGGGGATGAGGCCTTCTGGACTGGATCACCCCAGGACACCAAGGCGCCAGGGGTACACTGAGAGTGCCTGCCTGTCTCTAAAAGCGGTGCTCCTACCTCTCCTAGGTACCTCCCTGTACCTGGCGCCCTAGGAACGAATGTGCATGGACAGATTTTGGTGGTCATTTTCTTGACAATAGTAGCCCTCGGGCTCCCCTTCTACCCTATCCAGTGGGACTTGTCACTTACCTTTCCGGACAAAGTTCCCACCTCTCCAGGACCTGAATGAAGCCCTTGTTACCAGCCATCATTCACATTTCCCTCCCCGAAGGATAATTCAACTTGTCCTTTTGGAATTAAACTCCACAGGATATTTGAGAATCATCCAAGAAGGGTTACAGAATGGCTAGTTCAGCTAGTGGCACTCTCATTTTACAGAAGGGGAAACTGAGGCCCAGCAAAGCAATTGAACTGGCCTAAAGTGCCACAAGAGTTCATGGCGAGCCATGATTAGAACTCAGGCCAATGGCCATTGCACCCACATCATCTGACTTCAAGGATCAAAAAAAAAAACAAAACAAAAATCTGGGGATGGGGGTGAAGGGCACAGTGCCCCACCGCCAGGCCCCTCTCATCTCTGCTTCCTCCTGAGGGCTGTGAGGAGAGGAGGTGTGCCTTGGCTCTATGGCACCTCATCAAGGCAGTCTGTGTCCCCTGCCCTACCAGAGGGCTTGGCTGCTGCAGTCTGGGGTCTCCCACAGGGAAAGTCTCCTTAGGAGGGGGTGCTCCACAGTGTACATGTGCTTCTACCTGAACCCTTTCCCTGGGGACTGTGAGTTGTTGAGAATAGAACAGTTTCCTTCTGGAAGACATGGGCCTGAGGTCCCACTGTCAGCTGGAGACAGGAGAATGAAGGAAGACACTGGGCCCATGCATGAAAGTGACCTGTGGGTAGTTGACATCTCACAGAGGGCCTCCCAACTCTTTTTTTTTTTTTTACCTCGCTTTCTCTGCCAAGGCATGCAGATTTCCTGGGCACAGCACTTCCTAAAAATGAAACTGCCAAGTGTTGTCGGGGTGCATGGATCCAGAGCCTTTAGGTGTGCAGCAACCTCCTGGCTCTGTAGTCCAGTGGATGGTGAGAAGCCTGGGGAGCAGGAGGCCATAAAGAGGTTTGGAAGGGGCAGGGAGGGAAAGGGAGAAGGACTATGGCCAAGGAACTGTTTACTGGCGGATTAGAGAGAGTGGGGCCAAAGGGTAGAATTTCAAGGAACTAGGGGGGTGAAGTCAAGAGGTCTCCACAAACACTTTCTCAACATCTCTTATGTGCCAAATGATAGCCAGGGCTCTGGGCACATAAGATGAGTATAACCCAGTCCCTGCCTTCAAGAAGCTCTTGGTGTAATGCGGCAGGGAAGCAAACAGTTAGGATGCTATAGGAGGAGGCTTAGTGTTACGGATGCCTGGGAGGAGCTATTCTGCTTGAGGTGAGGGTTACAGGATGAGGGGACAAGAGAGAGGAGGAAGGATTTTCCCTGTTTTTTCCAGGAGGGGTAATCCCTTGTGCAGAGTGCAGGGGTGACAGAATATGGACCCACAGTTCCATGAGGTCAGAACTTAAAGTCTGGGGTGGAGGTGACACTGTAGAGGCAGGCAGGTGCTGGGTCCTGAAGACCCCCAACGTGGAGGCTGATCCTAGTGGAAAATGAGAATGAGCTTAGACCACACAGCGGCAGCAGGGAGGAGAGGAGGGAACTGATTTGAGAGATAGGTAGGAGACAGGGTCATGGAGCCTTGTGACTATTGGATTCTAGAAGATAAGGGAGCCAACAGTGTCAAGATTAGAAGCACTGATGTGATAGGCTGAGTGGGACCTTGGAGCTTCTTAAGTGAGCCTTGATTCCCAGCACCTCCTTAGATTGCTCTGTGAACTTGGGCAAGCGAACTAAGCTTTCTGAGGCCATCTGTAGAACAAAGTTGCTAAAATCAATCTTGTATGGTTGTTGTACATATTAGGGTAATGTATGCTAAGGGCCTGGCATAGGACTTGGCTCATAATGGAGAACTCAATAGATAGTAAATATAATTACCATCATTCATGCATTCAACAAACATTTATTGAACACCTGCTATGTGACAAGGACTATACTGGATCCTTGCATTGGATAGATGATTTTAAGTCTCAGTTCCTATTCTCATGTAGTTCACTGTTCAGGTGGAGAAAGATATGCAGAGGCAGTCACCTACCAAGGCAATATGGGCTGAGCAGAGGAAGAAGCCCTTAACTCTGCCCAAGAGAATTTGGGACAGCTCCACAGAGGAGAGATGACAGCTGAAATGATGTAGGGCCAGCCACCTGCTCAGAGCCTGTCACATCACCCCCTGCCCCACCACCACCACATGGGATTGCTTCAGAATCTCTGAAAGCTTCAGTTTTGAAGCATCGTCTTGGTTCTCAGGGTTGAAGGAAGAGGATGAACTGCAGGTGGGCATCTATATGGAGCCCAGAGAATGGCACAACAAGCTTTGGCCACCCCAGGAAAGGGCAAGTGCAGATGGGAGGTGGGAGGGGGGAACCAGATAAGAGTGACCCTGGGCAGGGCTTACTAGCTGGATAGGGAGTCCATGATACCCAGTCATACACATCAGTGGCCTGTGTATGTGTGCTCTTTGGGTCAGCCTAATTTTTCTGCTTCTCATCTGTACCATTTCAAAAATTCCCTCTGAACCCCTTGGTGTCCCCTGCCCTCCGATGCCAACTTTCTTTCTGTGCATCTTGCAATAAGCCAAACACAGTAGAAGCAGCACTACCTAGGACTTCCACTAAGGAGGGGCTCCTTCCCTGCTGCCTTACCAAGCAATACTTTGAGCTTTAAAGCCATGTAAACTGTGTGACCTTGGGCAGTTACTGACATATCTGACTTCCTTTCCTGTCCATAACATGGAGATGGTAATAGTCCCTCTCTCATGGGGCTGTTGTGAGGTTTCAATAGGATGTAAACTTGGCACCCAATCAATGCTGTTTCTCTTTTCTGCAGCCCATTAACTCCCTCCTTGCAGAGGGACAGACAACAGACCCTCAGCTGGGGGTTTCCCTGGCACCCCAGCCCCTGGGGCCCATCCCCTGTGGGTCCTGCAGCCCCCTTCCCCTCTGCTAGTCTAATGGATCTGTGGCATCCCCGGGAGGCCCTGGTCACCCTAGCCATGTAGCAGTGTAATGCTGGCAGGCCTGAGCAGCATGACAATGGTGGCCCCAGCAGCAGCTCAGCCCACTGCCCACTCTGCTCCTGTCTCCTCCTCGCTGCCAGTGACATGCCACTGCTCTGCAGATAGGACAGGCGTCCCTGGGTGCCTGAGGGCTGAGCAGGGAAGCTGGAAACAGCTCTCCCTCGCAGACTGTGTGGGCAGTGCATTTGAATAGCATCTGAAAAACCAAAGTTCAAGCCCGCCCCACTTTCCCCTGGGAGGCACAGCATCCAGACAGGGAGAGTTCAGCCAACAGAGAATCTCTTTTCTGCACATTGTCAGGGGCTCCCTTCCCCTCTGGCCCTATATCCGAGCAGGCACAGTCTCTGAAAGCACTGCAGGGACATTTGGGAGGCCGGAGACTTGACTCCGCCCCTAAGGTGCAGAAATCACTTTGTTTCTCTGGGCCTCTGTTTTCCTCTATAGCAAAAGGGGAATAGTGTGAATACCTATCTTTCAGGATGGGAGAACTAAATGCAAAGGTGACTGTGAAAGTGCTTTGCACACTGTAGAACGACCTGCATGTGTATGAGATCATTAGTGTTTGTCCAGAGGGCCCTTTTTAGGGTTCCAGGAATCAAGTAAAGACATGAGAAATGAGAAGCTAAGTGAGAACAGAGAAACTCACCTCAACAGCCTGCCCTTGGCAGGCAGGAGGGAGATTGGCAGCAGAGACCTGAAGATGGACTGACCCATTATGGCCTAGCTAGTTAGAGGTCTGTGAGTCATTGGGACAGCAGGACTTGGCTAGACTGAGCCAATTCTTACTCCTCCTCTGGCTAAACCTAGGCCATTGTTTTCCAGTGATTTATGAGAAGTGGGGATGATTAGGAGAAAAATATCATTTACCTGTAGCAGTGTGATTCCAGCAGAGAGCCTGGGACTTTCTGCTTTATCACTTCACCAAGTGTCATATCCTCCCTTCGCTATTTGTGGTGAAAGTACAGGCATGTGTGCATTTATGCATGTGTTTACACATGTGCATGCACATGCACGCACACACACACACCATTCTAGACTTCAGATGAGGCAACAGCTGCATCCCCAGAGGGTTCTAGGACAGGGTGGACCCATAAATAGAGTCAGCCAATCACAGACCAGTTGACCCTAGCAACTATCAAACCAATTAGAACCCCACCACTACATCCAGCGGTGCCTTCCAAACTTACACACACACACACACACACACACACCCCACCCCCTTCAGGTTGATGCATTGCCATGACAACAGAATCACCACACAAAGCTGGTGTAAATGGGAAAGTGGTCCTTAGGAACAAGACTAGAAGAGTCTTTGGGGTGAGGCTGCAGGCCACACTGGCTGGGGTGGGCCACTGAGAGGACCCGTATGCAGGGTGGGAGAGGAGAGACAGCTGGTTTACCTGGGCTTTCTAAGCCCATTCTTTACCCCTGGGTCTCTGTTTGCTCACCTAGAGAATGGGGTCAAAGACTCCTACTTGGATTATAGTGAAATGTAATGAAATTATTTCTCAACTAATAGATAGGGATAGGAACCGTAGATTTTCTTTTCAGGAAACCTTAAGAATTTTGAGACTTTTGGACCAAGAGAGTTGATTGATCCCCAGGAAGACCTAAAACCAAACCCTAAAACCCAGCTCATGAGTTCATTGGACAGTTGGATCTTAGTTCAGTTTGAAAGTAGTTACTCAATATCTGCCATGGGCCAAGCACAGGTGCTGATTTCAGCTGTAGCCAGGTAGCCCTTGAGGAGCCAGTTGAACATCTTGGTGAAGACTTTTAGAAATGCTCCAGAGGCCTGTTGGATGGGCCTGGAGACAAGTGCTCTGGAGGTGGCTGACCGGGAAAGACCTTGCTCAGGGCCAAGGAAGAAGGCCATGGTTTGAACCCGCAGGCCCCACTGGCCCACTGGCCTTTAGCTTCCAGGCCCCACACCCCTCCTTCAGACAGATGCCAGAGAGGCCTTAACCTTAGCCACTGGCCAATCTGCCAGTGGCTCCTCCTCTGCCCAGTTGCTTCCAGTAGCTCCCCAACAGGAGGCCTTTGAGTCCCCAACCCCTCTTTCAGAATCTGATGAAATCTGAGGAATCAAAACACATATGCACAACATTTTCTGTTCATTTTCATGAGCTATGGGCCTCCTTGTGCTCATTCACAGACTCCCTTATGGCATATGGATCCCCTGCCTCCCTCGTCAGCTCATCCTGATTTTCTCCCTCTCTTGTTGTGTCCAGCCACATCAAACTATGAGTACTTCTCTTGTACACACCACTATGTTTCACTGCTTCATGCCTTGGCACATGTTCCCATCTATAGGAGAGGTTCCCTCCTTCACCACTTACCTAGTAAACTCCTATTCATTCTTCAAAATCCAGCTCAAGAGTCACTGCCTCCTTGACACACACAGGTTCAGTGTTGTCTACACAGGCTTGACCACTCCCCAGTCGGAAGCCTGTCTGTTCGACATACTTCTCTCACTGTGTGCCTCCCAGTGCTTGGGGGCTCCATGTCTTCCTCCTTTACTGGGCTGAGAGCTTCCCGTGGCCAGAGACTACATCTTTAGCCTTTGTATGCCCAGGACTAGTATATATCAGGTGCTCACCGGGGTCTAGGACAGGGGTCCCCAACTCCTGGCTGCCTGTTAGGAACTGGGCCACACAGCAGGAGGTGAGCAGCAGGCAAGCAAGCAAAGCTTCATCTGTATTTACAGCCGCTCCCAGTCACTCACATTCCCACCTGAGCTCTGCCTTCTATCATATCAGTGGCAGCATTAGATTCTCATAGGAGCACGAAGCCTGTTGTGAACTGCACATGTGAGGGATCTACGTTGCATGCTCCTTATGAGAATCTAATGCCTGATGATCTGTCACTGTCTCCCATCACCCCCAGATGGGACCATCTAGTTACGGGAAAACAAGCTCAGGGCTCCCATTGATTCTACATGATGGTGAGTTGTATAATTATTTCATTGTATATTACAAGGTAATAATAATAGAAATAGAGTGCACACTAAATGTAATGCGCTTTAATCATCCTGAAACCATCTCCCTGCCTGGTCGGTGAAAAAAACCGTTTTCCATGAAACTGGTCCCTGGCGCCAAAAAGGTTAGGCGCCACTGGTCTACAGAACCGACACAGCAGAACTGAATTGGCAGAGGAAGCAAAGCTGATGAAGGAAGAAGAGAACAAGCAGACCAGAAGTTAGGACAGGAGCAAGGGGAAGAGAGGTGTTGGAAAGGAAAGGGGAGTCAGGAGGTGCCCACAGAGCAAGACTGAAAGACATCATTGAATTTGGCAACTAGGAAGCCATTGGTAGGGTGGCCATAGGCCCAGTTTGCCTGGGATTCTCCCAGTTCTAGCATTGAAAGTCCTGGGCAGACAGAGATGGTTGGTAGCCCTAGATTGGTGACTTTAACAAGGGCAATTCTGGAGATGGGAGTAGGGCAGAGGCCTGAATGGTGGGCTGAGGGATGAATGGAAGGCGGGAGAGGGAGACTGGGAGAATTGGTGGCTGCTGAGCTGTTTGGCTGAGCTGAAAGGAGGCAGGAGCTAAGGACCGTGCCGGTCTCCTGGCCCTTCCCTCCTGCCCACTGCCAACCCCCTCCCTGGAGAGAAAGCAAACACAGCTGCCGTCAGGAACACTGTGTACACCCTTAATGAATTCTTCTTGAAAGGCTCCAAGCCCACCACCTGGGTTGCCCAACTAGTCCCGCACCACCCCAATCCCCACTGGACCAGCGGTTCTCCGTTGTCTGACTTCCTGCAGTAAGTATTCAGGGGTTTTATCCAGTTGGCACAATGGATCCTGCTTGGACTGGGGATGGCTCTTCTCTTCTTTTGAACTTATTTACAAGTCTCATTTGTCTTTGCATATTAATAGATTGTCTGACTAATTCGATTCTGAACTTTTGTCTTGCTCTGTTGCTCAGGCTGGAGTGCAGTGGCGTGATCTCAGCTCGCTGCAACCTCTGTCTCCTGGGTTCAAGCAATTCTTGTGTCTTGGCCTCCCAAGTAGCTGGGATTATAGGCACCCACCACCACACCCAGCTAATTTTTGTATTTTTAGTAGAGATGGGGTTTCACCATGTTGCCCAAGCTGGTCTTGAACTTCTGACCTCAGGTGATCCACCTGCCTTGGCCTCCCAAAGTGCTAGGATTACAGGCATGAGCACCTTGCCGCCAGACCTCTGAACTTCTTGAAGGCAGGGATCATGCCCATCCTCACTGCCTCCCTTCTTTCCCTCTCTTTCCCCTTTCCTTCCTTCAGTAAACACTAATTAAGTGGTGTTTGAATTCAGTAGTTGTGGTGACTGCCATACTTCCTGCCCTCAGGCACCTCACAGTCTGGATTCCAGCCTCCTAAATAGGGGAGTTTTATATCCCTGAGCAGCAGAAGAGGGTCCTTGCAGGGCTTTAGTGAGTCTGAAAACCCATAACATTATATGCTAACATTGTGAGTGTGTATGTGTGTGTTATGTGAGATAGAGAAGCAGAGACTGTATGTTTCTAAAGAGAGAATCTCAGCTGGGTGCAGTGGCTTATGCCTGTAATACCAGCACTTTGGGAGGCAGAGGCAGGTGGATCGCTTGAGATCAGGAGTTCGAGACCAGCCTGGCCAACATGGTGACACCCTATCTCTACAAAAAAATGCAAAAATTAGCCCAGCATAGTGGTGCATGCCTGTAGTCCCAGGTACTCAGGAGGCTGAGTTGGGAGAATCACTTGAAGCTGGGAGGCGGAGGTTGCAGTGAGCTGAGATCGTGCCTCTGCACTCCAGCCTGGGGGACAAAGCAAGACCCTGTCGAGAGAGAGAGAGAGAGAGAGAGAGAGAGAGAGAGAGAGAGAAAGAGAGAGAGAGAGAGAGAGAGAATCTCTACAAATTAACATGTTCAAGTGGAATCAATCTGCCATATTCAAGTCCTATATATGTGATATGAGCAAATTATTTGGCACTCTGTACCTCTATTTCCTCATCTGTAAAATGGGGGTAATATAGCACCCTTCTCATAGGGCCATGATGAGGGTTAGATGGGATAGGTATATAAATTTAACATAGATCTTGGAACATACTAAGAGGACAATTAACACTAGCTATTGTTCTTTTTGAGAGAAAGGAACTTTTGTGAAATTCTCAAAAGGTTCCAAGAGCCACTGGTCCAGTGAGTGAGCAACCTGCGTGCTGAACGTGGCGTCCCACTGGGACAGTGCTAAGGGGAGTTAGTCTGAGGTGCACTTGAGGCACCTTGAACTTCCCCTCTGCATCTCCCAACCCCCAAGTAGCTCAGGACCCTGTTCTAAACAGCCACTCAGGAGGAAAGACCATTTGAATGGACTGTCCCCAGTGCCACTGAATAGCATGTCCAGGTTAAAACACATGTTAGGAGAGAAACCAGAACTCCGCTTCCCCCAGGGGAATGGATTTTAAAAGAAAAAGAAAAGAAAAGAAGGCCTTTGCTCTGGATCACATTAAAAGCAATAGCCTCCACAGCAATTAGGCACTCGTAAATTACACAGCCTGCCTCTGTCAGCTGGCTCCACACTATCTCATTAGCCAGGGTGCCGAGAGACACTGCACACCCTGCTGGGAGCTGCCTCATTGCCAAGTTCCTGCTCCATAATTAAACACAAAATCCCAACCTCGTGGAGGCACCCGCCGCCCCTCCTGTGGGGGACAGAGAGGCAGTGGGGGAGGGACAGAGCCAAGGTGAGGCCTTGCTTCTAGGAGTGAGCTGTGAGCAGTCAGCCCAGGGCTCTCCCATGACCTTGGGAGGGGATTTGGGACAGGAAGTGAAAGGGCACGGAATGAGAGGAGGGAGTCCCACCTTCTTCCTACCTGAACGCCTGAGACCAAGAGAGAAAATGGGCCACGTTGGCTTCTGCAGGAGATTCTGAGGTTCAACTTTAGGAAATGAGGTCCTAGAAAGAGGGGGATTGTCTGAGAACATCTACTCACTCCACTGCCCACATCTGAGCACACCCACATAGACTCCATTGGTTTGGAGCCAGACAAGGGCTGATGAGATGCATGCTGGGGCACTGTCAGGTTGCTAGACAAGGTGGACCCCAAAGGGCCTTGTAGCCAGAACTGGGTTAAGGAGTGGCCAGCTGGCAGGTGCACAGAATGCCCTTGGAAAGTATCAAGATGTGTGGTTGGAGAAATTGTTTGGGGCCGGGTGCCGTGGCTCGTGCCTCTAATCCCAGCACTTTGGGAGACTGAGGCAGGAGGATTGCTTGAGTCCAGGAGTTTGTGATCAGCCTGGGCAACATAGTGAGACATAGTGTCCCTCCCCCACTGCCTCCCTGCCAGCCCCCCCACCCCTGTTTCTACCAAAAGTTAAAAAAAAAATAGGCCGGTGTAGTGGCTCACACCTGTAATCCCAGCTTTTGGGAGGCTGAGGCGGGCGGATCGCTTGAGGCCAGGAGTTCGAGACCAGCCTGGCCAATGTGGCAGAACCCCATCTATACTAAAAATACAAAACTTAGCCAGGCATGGTGGCACAAGCCAATAATCCCAGCTACTTGGGAGGCTGAGGCAGGAGAATTGCTTGAACCCGGGATGCTGAGGTTGCAGTGTGCTGAGATCACACCGCTGCACTCCAGCCTGGGTGACAGAGCGAGACCCTGACTCAAAAGAAAAAAAAAATTAGCCAGGCATGGTGGCATGTTCCTGTGGTCCCAGCTGCTGGGGTGGCTGAGGTGGGAAGATTACCTGAGCCCAGGAGGTCAAGGGTACAGAAAGCTGTGATCGCACCACTGCACTCCAGTCCGGGTGACAGAATAAGACCCCGTCTCTAAAAAAAGAAAAGGAAAGGAAAAAAGAAATTGTTTGACAAGTGTGTAAGCTGTAAGTGAGCCCCTCACAGTGGTGACTTCTCTAATGACAAGCTGGTGGGACTGGCTGCACAGCAGGGCTCTTGCTTGCTGGGTGAGGAACACAGACCAGATTGGGGAGGGGAGAGGGACCAAGGCTGGCCCCCGCAGTTCTTCTCTGCCCACCTCACAAAGCCCTTGGCATCTCTTTTAAACCTATTTTGAACAAATATTTAAAAGATGTCCCCATGAAGCAGTGACAAATGATTAGCCTGCCCTGCTTGCCCACTTGTCTCCTGCCAACTGTGACCACCAGGGAGGATGGAGAAAATGCTCCAGGCTTCTGAATCCCACCCAACTGCTGCTGTCCAGGGACAGCCAGGATGGGAGCAGAAGCAGAGGAGAGAGGGCAGCTGCCTGGCGCCTGGGGAGGGGAGCATCCCCACCTGCATCCCCACCTCTGAGTTCTCTGGTCGTCCCGCCTGGGCAGCTTGGGCCAGGATGACGCCAGGCTCCAGCTCCAGCCGCTGGATCTTGATAGGGAAGGACAGAGCCTGAGAGAAAATCGTGCAAGCAGGCGAGTTTACTGGAGACAGAGACAGGGGACCCAGAGGCCAGAGCCTCTGAAACCAGGGCATGGGTAGAAGATGTGGATGCTATTTGGCAGACATTTGCATGGCATTTTATGTTAAAACTGAGCCACTGCATTGGTGCCAGCATTCAGCTAGAGCCCAGGGAACTAACTCTGCTGACAGCATCAGAAAAGTGCATAGAAATTCCCCCAGCCCCTGCCCTTCTCCCCTGGTGGTTCTTCTGGCTCCAATTGGCCCCAGGCCAACACTGTGATTTTTTGGCCCCAGATCTTGCCTCCACCGCTCACTCTTTGCCTCCCTCCATCCTAGGGGCAGGGGTGAGGACAGACTTGTGGTGGTGACTCAGAGTGTTGTCCTCTGAGGTTAGCACAGCCCAGAGAAATGCCCGGGCAGGCTGTGTTCCTCCCACTCCTCACTCAGAAGCTCAGTTTGAGAAGCAGCCCTTGGCCAGGCTTGGGACCTGTGCCCAAGACTGAGGAGAGACAGCTGTCATGCCCCAACCTCAGCCTGGAGGCACCAAGTTCCCTTGCCTGCGGGACCAGCACGGAGTCCTTAGCCCAGTCCTGGGGATGTTGTTTCCTGGAGTTGCAGCTAATTTCCCTAATTTCCTCCCAGACCAGCTTCCCCTTTCCCTGAAGCCTGGGAGGGGCTGGGACCCACAGAGCAGCCAGGTGTGGCCCCAGGGATAAGAGTGGGGCCTGGCAGAACAGGGAGGGGTCAGGACCTGGGAACAGTCTGGACAGGCGTAAGGTGGGAACCACATCGGGACCAGTGAGGAAGAGCCTGGGGTTTAGACTCGCACTTCCTTTTCCTCTCGGCTGAGCCCCGGGACCAGAATGGTTCCAGTTACCAGGGCCTCCCGGGAATGCAAGCTGAGTGATAGGGCAGTTATCAGGCCTGTTCAGCTCAGACACCCCTGAATGATCAGCGAGACTCAGGGGCCCACACCCACATGAACAGGTATATCCAACCAAAATGCACCTGAGTGTGTCAGTTACTACCAGGTGCCACTATCTGAGTGGCCAGGCAGTGGTACCTGGCAAGTTTACCTGGTACAATACCTGAATATATCAAGCTGCCTCCAAATCAGACCATTATGCCAAATGTCCTGGCAAGAAAGACATACTCCAGGGGGCCAGCTCCTCCAGGGGCCAGCCTAGCTCTGCAGGTTGGTATCTGGCAGTACCTGGTGTAGCCAGGGAAACAAAGGGATTTGTCAGCTGGAATCTGTACTTCCCCAGGCCTACTATTTGCTCCAGGAGCTCTCCCGTGGGTCCCCCGGGGCACTGATATTTCTCAGCATGTCTTCCCTAGGATCCCAGCCATTCATGATCCCACAACTGACTTTGCTCTTAGTCAAACAGCTGGTGACTGAACCTGATCCAATATTTACTCCTGGAAAGAGGGCAAAGGGGCAGGTGTCACTCCAGGCAGCCTGGAACTGCAGTTGGCTGGGTCTGGGGGAAGGGAGGGGAGGGTTTGCTATTTTCTCTGGTGCCAGAGGCTTTCTCAGACCTTAGGTATTCCCCACCTAACCATCTGCCTCCTCTTCCTGACATGGGCTGGGGAGGGGACTGGAAGGGAGCTTTGTCCCCAGGGAACTGTCCCTGAGAGGGGTGAAGCCAAGTAGATGAGGAACCTCAGCCGGGAGGTGAGAAACCCAGACCACCAGCTTGAGAGGACAAGGAGCCTCCCCAGCGGGGGGCTTGCAGGGAAAGGAGGCTGTCCTGCAGGAAGGGGCAGCCTGCAGGATGCCTGCAGGTTTCCCTGAAAGGGGATGGGGAAGAGGAAAGACTGGGGACTGGAGTGAGACCCTCAGTGAGGAATGGAAGCAGGTGGTCCATGAGTACCAGGGCTGGGGCTGCCGCCTCAGAAAGGAGTCAGGCCACGGCCACTCCAGAAATCTGGTGAATCCAGAAAGTTGGTGATTTCCCCACCCTTGGCATTGTAATGGAATTCTCCCTGGTGTGATTAGCAATGAATCTTGGAACTCAAAGTGTGATTTCAGGGAGAGGCAGCCAGGAGCTCTCCCTTACCAGTGCGGCCTCGGGGAGAAGCCCTAGGGACAGTGAATTTGGGGTGCTTCAAAAGCAGCAGGCCCAGGTGGGGTGGGGCTTGCTGAGGAGAGAGGGTGGGGGCAGGGAGGGGGCAGTGGTGTGCTGTCCTGAGGAGAACGGGCTTTGCTATGCACCTACTGTGTGTCAGGCACCTTATATACCAGACTACAGTGAATCTTCAGGACAACACGAAGTCACTGTTGTTAGCCAGTTTTACAGATGAGCAAACTGAGGCTCACAGAGGTTATGTGACTTTCCTAGTCACTCAGTGTGAGGCAGAGCATCCAGGTATGAGTCCCAAGCATGTGTGCCTTTTGTAACAGCTCCAGACCCAGGGAGATTCCAGACCCAGGGAGGGATGCCAGCAGCCTAGCACGGGGCAAGTCAAACTCGGGAGGGTGTCTCTGCCACACCTCAGTGTGCCCATCCTCTGGTGCATGCCTGCTTCCTGGCAGCCCCCAAAGACTCTGAATCAGAGGCAGCGCCGCTCAAGAGAGGACATAGGCTCTGAACTCGGAAGACTCTGGATTCCGATGCTACTCATGAGCAGATGTGACCTTGGGCAAGCCATCCACAAAGAGAACCTCGTCACGCCTTCATCTAAGGTTGTTTCATAATTAAATGAGATAATGCATATAAAACATCTGGCACGGACCACATGTGGTGGCTCACGCCTGTAATCCCAGCAATTTGGGAAGCTGAATGGGGAGGATCACTTGAGCCCAGGAATTCAGGACCAGTCTGGGCAACATGGTGAGACTCTGTCCCTACAAAAAATTTAAAAATTAGCCAGGCATGATGACACGTGTCTGTAGTCCCAGCTACATGGGAGGCTGAGGTGGGAGGATCACTTGAACCGCGGAGGTCAAGTCTGCAGTGAGCCGTGATTGTGCCACTGAACTCCAGCCTGGGTGACGGAGTGAGATTCTGTCTCAAAAAATAAATTCATTAATTAATTTAATTAAATAAAAAACTTGGCACATAGTAGGTGCTTAAGAAATGATAGTTCTCTGCAGGGCTGGCTTCCATGGGCACGCATCATGCAGTCTATCAGGTCCTGTTCTCAGAAGGGCCCCACACTCAGAGGGCCTCCTGCTTGTTTTAATGCTTTATTGTTCTCTTGTTTAAATTCTTAATACTTTTTCAACAAGGAGCCTTGCATTTTCATTTTGCATCAGATCCTGCAAATTATCTAGCCCATCTGGGTTATTGGTGTGGGTTTAGTTCCTTGAATCCAGAAAGGACTACCTGTGACCCACACTATGAAACAAGCCACCATTTCATCATTTCGTGATTTTGTCTGCCCAGGAAATGCTTCTCTGCTTATCCTCCGTGCATCTAGCTGTTGCTTATAAGAAATCAGAGTGAGCCAGACAGAACCACAACTCTCCTTCGGCCCCCAGCACCTCCAGGGAGATGAAAGCAGATCATACCCCTGCTTGTTCTGAGGAGAGGGACTTTTGAGGGAGAATCTTGAGCCCTGGTTTCTGGCAATGAAGGGTGGTCTCCCTGATGCCACCAGCCCAACAGCAAGATACTAAATGCCTCACAAGGTTGGAGGCCCCCAGCTCCCAGGGACTCACATCTTCCACCGGGGCCCAGCAGTGTGCTGTGGCCCCTCCCCGCCCACTAGGGTGAGGGCTGTAGGCCGGGGCAGACACAGAGCTCTGAGCAGCAATGTCAGGAAATGATCACCTTGGGAGGCGTTCCAGGAGCTGGAGCTCAGCCCACCACCTCCCTCCACTACAGCCTGCGTGGAAACATCTGACCTCCACAGTGCCTGCCCCTTACCTGTTCTCAGACTCCTATTCCCAGGGGCCCAGGCGTTTGCTAAATTGGCAGTTTTGACCCATCCACTGACCCCTGAGAAGCATCGCTATAGGGGAAATGAAAATCGGGAGGCTGTCTGTCTTCTCTTTCTTTCTCTCTCTGTCTCTCAAAAGACGATTTAAGCCATTTCTAGGTCTAGCAGCCTTTTGCAAGGACACTGGAGTTGGGGGGTGGTGATGAGGGAGAGGACAGTGGAAGAGGAGGCTGAGGTGCAGCTGCAGGACTTGGGGAGGAGAATCATAGGCTGACTCAAAGATTATGAAATATCTCAGCTAGAAGAGACCTTTGAGAAATTGAGGTCAGAGAGGGAAAGTAAGTTGCCCAAAGTCACAGAGCCAGGACTGGAACATGGGTAACCTAATGCCCAGCCCAGGGGTCTTTCCACTTCACCATTTGACTTCAGGATCAGGGACAAACTGGAGGGGTGAGGGAAGAAGAGAGACTTCACCCCTGTCCACCTGCACCACACACACACACACACACACACACACACACATACACACATTTAGATTTATTCTAGATCCAGTTCCTCCTGGACACTGAGGTGTTAAACCCTAGTCAGGTAAAAAGAACATCAAGGTAAGGAGGTATGTGGCTCTGACCCTACCCTTCCATTGGCATGGCCTCTGAAGTCTGAGGTTCCTGGAATGGCATGGTGTGGTACGTGTCTGCCAGGACCCTTCTCCCAACAGCTGATCTTACGTGACTGGTACCTTTCTGAGTCCCAGACTTAGATCTTGGGGCCTCTTCATAGGAAAGAGGGACTTGGAGGGTTTCCCATTCAGGGATGATTTAAAAGATAATAATATTAGTAGCTAGTATTTATAAGCACATTATATGTGCCAAGTGCTGTTCTAAAAACTTTTCTTATATCAACTAATCTAATATTCACACAACCGTTGGAGATAGATACTATCATTACCCCTATTTTATAGTCAAAGAAATGGAAACACAGACAGGTTAGATAGATTGCCCAAGCCTACACAGCTAGTAAACAGTAGAACTGGGATTTGAACCTAGATACCCTACCCTTTGGGCTCCTAGTTAAGTGCTTCTCGCAATGTAACATCTTGATCCCCATCCAGTGAGGTTTTTGTTTTTGCTTTTGTTTGGAGACAGGAGATCTTGTTCTGTTGCCCAGGCTGGAGTGCAGTGGTATGAACACGGCTCACTGCAACCTCACCCTCCTGGGCTCAAGTGATCCTCCTGCCTCAGCCTCCCAAGTCCCAAGTAGCTGGGAACACAGGTGCACACCACCACACCTGGCTAATTTAAAAAAAAAATTTTGTAGAGACATGGTCTCACCATGTCGCTCAGGCAGGTCTTGAACACCTAGACTCAGGCGGTCTGCCCATCTCAGCCTCCCAAATTGCTGGGATTACAGGTGCGAGCCGCAGAGCCTAGCCTCCAGTGAGTTTTTAGTTGAAAGCTACACATAGTTCTACTTCCGTCTGATTCATCTCCATCTACCTCATCCCTCACTCCCCACACCACCTAGGTGCCAGGCACCACTGCCCAACTAGGAAGTAAATCTGAAGTTTGGGAGATCTGCTTCTCTCTCCTGAGTGCCCCTTTCCTGCCCCTCAGAACACCCCTTAGTGGCATATACTGCCACCTCCTGGCCACCAAAGGTTAAGACTGACCCTGTGTGCGTATTTCAGGACTCTGTCCCTGGTACTCAACTTCTCTCTGGATGATGACATCCTCGCCACAGCTACGTGACCACCTATAGCAAGCTAGTCCAGCCTGCAGCCGGTGGGCTGCATGTGGCCCAGGATGGCTTTGAATGTGGCCTAATACAAATTCATAGGCTTTCTTAAAACATTATGAGATTTTTAAAACCTCATCAGCTATTGTTAGTATATTTTCTATGTAGCCCAAGACAGTTCTTCTTCCAATGTAGCCCAGGGAAGCAAAAAGATTGGATAACCCTGATCTATACTCTGTTGATTCCCAAATGTTTATCTCTCTCTGTTTTTAAGAGTCTCGCTCTGTTGCCCAGGTTGAAGTGCAGTGGTGCGATCTCGGCTCACTGCAACATCCACCTCCCAGGTTCGAGTGATTCTTGTGCCTCAGCCTCCCAAGTAGCTGGGGTTACAGGTGCGTGCCACCACGCCCGGCTAATTTTTGTATTTTTTAGTAGATACAGGGTTTCACCATGTTGGCCAGGCTAGTCTCAAACTCCTGACCTCAATGGATCCACCTGCCTCGGCCTCCCAACGTGCTGGGTTTACAGGCATGAGCCACTGTGCCAGGCCCCAAATGTTGATCTCTTTAGAGATCCAGGTCTATCCTGATGCAAATGCAAATGGCTCGAGCCCTCCAGTACCTGTAACTTCCCTCAAGTCACAGGGCTACAAAACGCAGAGCTGGAACCAGACCCCGGGGCACCTGGATACTTACTCAGTGCTCACATCACAGCACCACACTGCTTCTCCAACACTAGCATGAAACATGGACACAATGAGTGCCCAGAGAGGGAAAGGATAAAGATCACATGCTGGCTGGTGGGAGAGTCAGGATTTAGATCCAAGTTAGAGCGGTGGCAAAACAAGTCTGCTTTCTCTAGCGTGCCATGTCTGTTCTGCGGGTTTGCAGAAGGCAAATAGCTCTTTTTTTCTTTCTTTTTTTTTTTTCTGAGACAGAGTCTCACTCTGTTACCCAGGCTGGAGTGCAATGGCACAACCCTGGCTCACTGCAACCTCCGCCTCCCAGGTTCAAGCGATTCTCATGCCTCAGCCTCCCAAGTAGCTGGCGTTACAGGCGTCCACCACCAGGCCTGGCTAATTTTTTTTTGTATTTTTAGTAGAGATGGGGTTTCGCCATGTTGGCCAGGCTGGTCTTGAACTCCTGACCTCAGGTGATCCACCTGCCTTGGCCTCCCAAAGTGTTGGGGTTACAGGTGTGAGCCACTGTTTTAAGAGCAAATGGCTCTTAAAACACACAGATGTTGAGGTGAGGTGTGAGGCAAGCTGAAGGATGGGTGACCGTCGGTGGTCGGAAAAGTCTTTGTGGCTGAGGAGTGAGGGCAAAGGGGCATGTGCTGGCACTTCCTGCGGCCGACTGTGACAATGGAATGAAAAGTCCCCTGGAAGGGAGGACAGAGAGTTGAGGGCAGGACCTTGGGTTCTGGCATCACAGAGGGCACTGGAAGAAGAAATGGAACAAGGGAAAGGGACTTGAAACAGTCACACGAGAGGAGCTGAAGTATCAATACTTCAGAGATGGACTCCTGCATCTTAGGGCAGGGATCGGGAAATCACTGCCTGCCTCTGTTTTTGGACCGCCTGAAAGCTAAGAATGGTTTTTACTTTCTTACACGGCTGAAAAAAAAATCCAAAAAGAAAAACAATCTTTCATGACACATGACAATTTATAAAAACTGGAATTCTAGTGTCTATAAATAAAGTTTTATTGGAACGCTGCCGTGCTCATTCACTTATGCATTGTCTGTGACTGCTTCCTGCTACAACGGCAGAGTTGAGTAGCTGCAACAGAAACCACAGGGCCCACAAAGCTTAAAATGTTTATTATCCCACCCTTTACAGAAAAGCTTGCCAACCCTACCTCAGAGGATAAGGGTCATGGGCCACAGGTTTGGCCCCCATGTTGGAAGGGAAGTTCAAGCTGCAGACAGAGACAGAGGGGAAGGGGGTGGGTTTTCAGGAGGCCTTTGTCAGAACACCAGCTGTCCTGATTTTCTTTTCTTTCTTTCTTTTTTCTCTTTTTTTTTTATTTTGAGATGGGGCCTCACTATGTTGCCCAGGCTGGTCTCGAACTCCTGGGCATAAGCGATCCTCCTGCCTCGGCCTCGCCTCTCAAAGTGCTGGGATTATAGGCATCAGCCACCGTGCCTGGCTTTCTTGACAATGAGCCCACATCCTCCACACCCCCGGCTCCATGAGACCTGGCCTAGAGGGACTCAGACCCCCACTCCACACACACTCTGGTGTGGAGAGGAAGCCCAGCCCCAACATTATGGCTTTGAGTGATTCCATACCCTCTAAGCCTTAGGATCCACCTCTGTAAGATGAGAATAATAATGCAAACCTTGAAAGGTTGTTGAGAATTCCAAAAGATAACAAAGTTCATGCCACAGTTGTTGGTGCCAGATGGCGTTCTGCAATCTGTAGATCTTGCTGCTGTTAGGCCAGGCAGCCCGCAGCCAGCTTCTGAAGCCCGCAGGCTTCAGAAGTGGGTGCACCTCCTAACTATGTCCACTAGAGGGCAGGAAGTCCCTGCTGGCGGCCAGGAGGGTGTCAGATGGAGCTGGTCCGCAGGTCCCCCTTCCTGGGGAGAGGTGCCCTCCCCTGCTGTTTACAACCCTGGCCTTTGATCAGCTTCTGTTCTCCCCATGGCCTGCTGAGGGCCAGACGGGTGCACAGCCTCCCGCTGGGGGCGGGCCAGGCTTCCTTCTTGCCCTTTCGCCTCTCCCACTGGCAGGCCAGACTGAGGCCAGGCCACTGGATACACACTCCTTGGCCAGTCTATTTGCAGAGTTTTGCAAAGCCCTTCCATGCACATTGCCTTATGTGCTCCTCCAACAGCCCAGGGATGCAGGCAGAGCAGGTAACATGATACCCCTTCATCGAGGTGAGGAAACCAAAGCTCAGAGAGGCTAAGTGACTTCTCCAAGATCCCACGGCGGGTGAGCAGGGTGGCTGGGATCGTAGCTGGTGTCTTCTCCTCCTCCTCCTCCTCCTCCTCCTCCTCCTCCTTCTTCTCCTTCTTCTCCTTCTTCTCCCTCTCCTTCTCCTTCTCCTCCTCCTTCTTCTTCTCCTTCTCCTCCTCCTCCTTCTTCTTCTTCTCCTTCTTCTCCTCCCTCTCCTGCTCCTTCTCCTTCTCCTCCTCTTCCTCCTTCTTCTTCTCCTTCTTCTTCCTTTTTTTTTTTTTTTTTTTTTGAGACATAGTTTCACTTTTGTTGCCCAGGCTGGAGTGCAATGGCCTGATCTCGGCTCACTGCAACCTCCGCCTCCCGGGTTCAAGTGATTCTCCTGCCTCAGCCTCCCGAGTAGCTGGGATTACAGGCATGCGCCACCACACACGGCTAATTTTATATTTTTAGTAGCAATTGGGTTCCTCCATGTTGGTCAGGTTGGTCTGGAACTCCGGACCTCAGGTGATCCGCCCGCCTCAGCCTCCCAAAGTGGTGGGGTTACAGGCGTGAGCCACCATGCCTGGTCATAGCTGGTGTCTTCTGATGCCAGGTTGTGGCTCTCTCCTGTAAGCAGGCTGCCCTTAACAACCGCACCCTCCCTGAGGAGGCTCTAATGTCTGCAGTTTCTTTCAATGGTCCTGCTCCTGACCTCCTCCCTGGTAAAACACCAAACCACCCTTTCTGCCCTCTCAGAACTCAGAATGGTGCAAGGTGCTTCCATGCACAGGAGCTCATTTCTACCAAGAACAGGCTCCCCCAGGGCATTTGAGGACAGCGACTCTTATCTCAAGGGGCTTTGGATGCAGTTGGGAATACAAAGGCAGACAGTTCTACACACACAAAAATGGGAGGCTGGGCAGTGACTCTGAGGGCCAGGCAACTGACCCAGACAGTGACAGAGAGATTGTGGGGCTGTGGTGGTCAGGGAAGGCTGCCAGGAGCATGGGGACCTTTGGGAAGCTACAGGGGAGTGAAGAGGCAGGAACGCTCAGGGTCTTTCTAGGTATATGGTGAACCAGACAGACATCTGTACCAGACGGCAGAGCGAAGCCCATCAAGTTAGAGCAGGCTGGTTCTCAGAGAGCTTCAAATGCCAGGCGAAGGGAGGTCAATTTGGTCATGTGAGAGACGGGGAGTCATTGAAGGTGTTTGAGGGAGGGGGGACAGGAAGCAGTGGCATTTCAGGAAGGCTGACATCCAAGTGAGGAGGAGACTGGGAGCATGTCTGGGACTGAAGAGTAGACTAATTTTTCTTTTAATTTTTGTAGACTAGGGGAGTATGTTTCTGTGGCCCAGGCTTAAGGTAACTAACTGTAGACGCAACGGAGAACTGCCAGGATGTCCTGCAGGATGTGATGTTGGGGGTAAAGGAGAAGGACCAGCCCAACATGGGAATAACTGGAGAGTCAAGCAATGTGTGTGTGTGTGTGTGTGTGTGTGTGTGTGTGTGTGTGTGTGTGTCGGGGGACGGGCGTGTGATGTCAGGGAAAGGATCATTAGTTCTTTTTATATGAGGGTTAATTTGAGGACATCAAGTAGAAATGCTTCGTGAACAGATCAAGATACAGGACAGGATGTTGGAAGACAGTCAGGGCTTCAGTGTGGATAAGGAGGGAATCAGCCACAGGGGCATGGTCTTGCAGCCGGGGAGGGACTCTGGATGCAGGGGGAGCCAGTGTGGAGAGGGAGGCTGAGGCCAGCAGGAAGAGAACTAGAGGTGGGAGGGGTCAGGGCAAGGGTATGTGTTGAGGTCTCCCCAGTGGCCAGTCCCCTTCTCCACCTCAGCAGCTCCTATTTTCATTTGGAAGATCCTGGCAACTCTGGGGACAGAAGGGATCTCTGGCTGTGGAGTGGAGCACATGGTATCATGATTGATTCGAGGGGGACATGTCTCCTAAGTCTTGCCAACCAGAGACTTACAGGGCTTTTGAATGACACCCTGGGACAAGAAGCTCTTTCTATCACTGTGTGAAGGAAGAGGCAGGTGGCACCAAGAGCAGCAGCCTGGGAGGGAGCATGAGGCTGAGGAAGACAGAGGGGCAGAAAGAAAGAACTAGCCCTATGTGACATCCCTGCGTTGCTCCATCAGTCCTTGCTGGAACCATTTGTGAATGAATAGATGTCCTGTATTTTTTAGCCTGTTAGGTAGAGAGCTTTTCTGTTTCCTGCAAATAGAAGATTCCTAATTCCTATGGAAGATGCAAGAGAGCCTGAAGAATATTGCTTTCAATAATTAAGGAAGAACATTTCAAAATGGAAGAAGGGGTGAATAGTATCAAATGCTGAGAGTGTCAGATCAGAGACTTTTCTGAGGGGGAGCGGTTCTGAGGGGGAGCGGTGAGGGAGAACAGGGTCTTGCTCTGTTGCCCAGGCTGGAGTGTAGTGGTTTGATCGCGGCTCACTGTAGCCTCGACGTCCCGGGCTCAAGCGATCCTCCCACCTCAGCCTCCCAAATAGCTGGGACTACAGACATGTACCACCATGCCTGACTAATTTTTTTTAATTTTTGTAGAGATGGGGTCTTGCTATATTGCCCAGGCTGGTCTCAAACTCCTGGGTTCAAGCGATCCTCCTGCCTTAGCCTCCCAAAGTGCTAGGATTACAAGCGTGAGCCACCGCACCCAGCCCAGAGATGTTTTATAGTTACTCAAAAACTGTGTGACAGAAAAGGAACCTGGGGGTCAGAGAGGCTTCTAGAATCTGGCAGCCCCTACAGCCAGGACTCAGAACTCCCAGTCTGATCAGTTACCTCAAGGAGGAAAGGGAGATGTTTCCCCTTGGGGGAGCTATTTCCAGAGCTCCTCCTCACCCATGTCTTTGCTGTAGCCCTCCCTCCCCCAAGCCCAGCCCCACTCAACTCCTTTCCAGGGGCTCAGTGGCCATCTCCCTGCCCCCAGGCCAAACTCACCTGACTGTACCTCAGATAGAAGAATAGCTAATATTTTTAAAACTGTTTAGGGAAAAAGAAACCACCTTCCTCTTTACTTGCCACCCCAACACTGGGACAGTTCTTCCTCATGTCTAACCTAATTCCCTTCAGCTGGGAGGGACCCATCAGTGCTCCCACTGACCCACCCTTGTTGGGGGGCCTGTAGGGCATCTGAAGGTGACACACTGGACAAGGAAAGAGAGGCAGGCAGGCAATAGGAGTGGCTGCAGAGGCAGACGGGCGTCCTGCCCCAAATACGGCCCCCCGGGCTGCTGCGGCGAGGGCTGGGCTCTTCCTGAGCGGATTACCACTGTGGTCTAAGTGACTGAAGCTGCTGAGAATGCTATTGTAGCAAGAGGCTTACCGAAATGTAGACACCCAGCCCTGGCATGTCCCGACACACAGATGGGAAAATAAGCAGAATAAGCTCCCGGTGCTAAGCCGCTCTATTGTCCTGTTGCTGCTAAAACACCTTGCTGGGCTTTCTGCCAAGCGCCCACCCCTCCAGCACTGCTCACTGTGGCTCTGTGGGCTTCCCCTCTCCTGATGGCAGAGAGGCCGCCCTGCAGGAAGGTGACACAGGGAGGTCGACAGCCCACATGTCCGGCTGCCAGGCTATGCTGTTGAGCCTGAGTATGACAGAGGAGATGCATGCAGTTGGGTAACATGCCCAAGGTCACACAGCAGCACAGTAGCAGGGCCAGGGTTAGCATCTAGATTCCTAACCTCTGGTGAGAGGTCTCTCCCAGGCACCCTGGGTCCCATCTCATCCCAAGCTCTGTCTGCCACAAATCCCCCTTCCTGATTCCCCTACACACCCAGTTCTTTCCCTGCCACAGCCCAGGTGGCTGCCCTCTAGGAACCCTGATGAGCAGACTTGCAACAGATCAGTGTGCAGGTCGGCACGGGATCTTCCTCAATTCGGTGTTGGTTCACTTAACGGGGATGGAGTCACAGGCTGTGGCCACACGACGTGGAGGGAGATCAAGTCCCCACTGCTGCCAGGGGAAAACAGACTAGAAAACTCCCATCCCAGCATCTGAGGACATTAAGGGCAGGCCGGAAATGGGAGCGGATCTGCGATGCCCACTCCACGGGAGGCGAACTGTTGCTTCAGGGAGGAGGCCCTGGTGCCACACAGGTGCAAGGACTTGGGAACCCAGAGGAAGCACTGGGGCTTTCCAGGAGTCTGGTGGCTCTAGAATGGAGGGAGGAGGGGGGTGAGGAAGATGGGGCTGGGGGAGGGGGCAGGGTGGGTGGGGAGAAGATGGGTTTGGTGTAGCAGCAGGGCTGTGGGGTTCTACTGACTGCTGTGCACCTCCACCTGGGCGTCCCGCAAATACTTCCAAGACAACACACCCCAACCTCAACTCAGCGTCACTCCGACAGCCTTTCTCCTGTGTTCGGTGGCCTGGCCGGTGGCGCACCCTCCCCCAAGCACCCAGCCAGAGATCGGAAAGCCCCTCTTCACACCTCCCTCTTCACAAGCTTTCATTTCCTGCCAGTCACACATTTTGCCAAGTTTACCTTCTTGGTTTTTCTCAAATTCATCCTGCCCTCTCCCACCGCTGCCTTGGACCTCTTCTCACCTGGCTGCAGCAACAGCCTCCTGGCTGCCCTCGCGCCTCACCCCTGAAACCCATCCTCCATGCGGCCTCCAGCCTCATCCCTCTTTCCCGTTCAAACTTCCAGGGTCTCCGCATCCCCTGGGAGAGCATTTTAGGCTCCTTAGTATGACCAAAAGGATGTCTATGGTTTGACTCCTGCTTGCCACAGCCGTGCAGTATGGTGGTTAGAAGCACAGATGCTGGAGCCGGATTTCCTGGGTTCAAATCCTATCTGTGGCTGGGCGCAGTGGCTCACACCTGTAATCCCTGCATTTTGGGAGGCCGAGGCAGGCAGATCACTTGAGGTCAGGAGTTCGAGATCAGCCTGGCCAACTTGGTAAAACTCCACCTCTACTAAAAATACAAAAAATTAGCCCAGTGTGGTGGTGCACGCCTGTAATCCTAGCTACTCTGGAGGCTGAGACAGGAGAATAGCTTGAACCCGGGAAGTGGAAGTTGCAAGAGCTGAGATCACACCACTGCACTCCAGCCTGGGTGACAGAGCAAGACTCTGTCTCAAAAAAAAAAAAAAAACCTACCTGTTACTTTCTAGCTGTGTGTCCGAGGCAAGTCACTGAACCTCTCTGTGCCAATGGTTTTCTCACCTATGAAATCGGTATTTTAAGAGTACCTGCCTCATAAACTTGTTGCGAGGATTGAATGAGTTTTTCTGTGTAGAAGCAGTTAGAACTGGAATTATTACCCCCCTACCCCTGCCAGCCTGGCTTCTTCTCCTGCCCCTCTCTGTCTCACACGTTTGTATCCACAGCTCAGCTTTTCTTGTAATTCTCTCTCTAGCAATTGTGCCATTTCTCAGCTCAGTGTCTGGGCCCCTCAAAGGGATAACTTCACCCTGCAGTCATCAGTCCACCCCCAAGAGCCACTGGTCTCCCCCGTGGCTTGGCTCTCCCTAGCACGTGGCTGCCTGCTTTCTTCTCTGTCTCCCCTGCTGCACTAGAGGTCCTTGAGGGCGGATCTGGGTTCCTGGTGCCTAAATCCTGCGTGGTACACAGGAGGCCCTTGATAAATATGTGTGGAACGAATGGTTGCAACATTGTTCCTGGAGAGTTCTCAGAACTCTCTGAGAGTTTGTAGTGAGGAGTGAGGGTGCTTATGAATGAAGCTTCACCCTGCCCCCCCACCCCCCACCACCCCACCCCCCTCCCCATCACCATGGTCCTGGGGATACATGTTAACATTCATGCCCTGCCCAGGTGTGATGGCTCATGGGGGAACTTGGAGACTTAGGAGATAGACAGGCAATGAAATAAGTGTGGTGATCAAGCAAGTATGGACTATAATGGAATGAATAAAATAAATGGTGGAGAGGCCTCATTGGGACCCCCAGGACTGCCCTCTGCTCATGTGGTGATATTGGCACCAAAGACAGGGTGTCTTAGCCAGGAGTAGCTCACTTCTGTCATCCCAGCACTTTGGGAGGGTAAGGTGGGAGGATTGCTTGAACCCAGAGTTCGAGACCAGCCTGGGCAACATAGCAAGACCCCACTTCTGCAAAAAATTAAAAAATTAGCCTGGCATGGTGGCACACACCTGTAGTCCCAGCTACTCGGGAGGCTGAGGTGGAAGGACAGCTTAAGCCCAGGAGTTTGAGGCTGCAGTGGGCCAAGACTGTGCCACTGCACTCCAGCCTGGGCAACAGAGCAAGACCCTGTCTCAAAAAAAATTTTTTTTTTTGAGACATGGTGTCTTGTGGTTACAGATTCTTGGCACCATGGCCCTCCTCCCTCCCTGCCCTCCCATGCCAAGGGCCAACATTGCTGCCCTTTAGTACCTGGAAGGGCTTCACACCATTAAGGGCTTAATATCATGAGGCCCCAAGGCCCCTGCCAGCTCACTGTGTTTAGAGCCATATTTAAATCAGTTCAATGCCTCTGGGAAGAGAAAGCCAGCTGCCCGGTGATCCCTCACTACCTCTCCAGGCAGCTCAGAGATGCCCTCTGAGCTTCTTCCTCCTGGGTTCATCTGGAAGCAATCTAACATTGTTTAAAAGCTAGCCTTGACAGGCAGATCAATTGAGGTCAGGAGTTTGAGACCAGCCTGGCCAACATGGAGAAACCCTGCCTCTACTGAAAAATACAATAATTAGCCGGGTGTGGTGGTGCATGCCTGTAATCCCAGCTACTCTGGAGGCTAAGGCACGAGAATCACTTGAACCCAGGAGGCGGAGGTTGCAGTGAGCCAAGATAGCACCACTGCACTCCAGCCTGGGTGATAGAGTGAGACTCAGTCTCAAATAAATAAATAGATAAATAAATAAAAGCTAGGCTCGAGCTGGACAGCTGGACAGCCTGGGTTTGAATCCTACCTCGACCCTGTAGTAGTTGGGTGGCCCTGGACAAATGTCCTCACCTCTCTGAGCCTCAGCTTCCGTATTTGTAATGAGACCTCCACCATGGAGCTGTGCAACTACATGACCTAATGTACATAAAGTGCTTACAGCAGTGCCTGCGTGTGATTAGCTCTGTTTTATGAACAATGCCCTTGCTTTTACTACATTGCGTTCTGTGTTACTTGCTCTGCTCTCCTGAGTCCTTGTGGGCAGTACCCTCTAGCTTCCTCATTCATCTTGGTATCCCCAGGGCCTGGCACAGTGCCTGGCTCAGAGCAAGGAGGCCAAAAATATTTGTGGAGTGACGTCTGACTTAACCGTCAGAATGAGCACTGGAATGGGCTGGAGCCAACAGCCAGTGCTGCCCACAGGTGGGCAGGGGCACGCTGCCTGGGGAGGGGTGTGAGGGAAGCGGGCCAGGACCAAGGGAGGCCCAGTCAGGGGATGCTTGGTGCTGCTTTTCCTGCTTGCAGATCCCAAGGCGCAGTGGCCATCTGCCGGGGGCGGGAAAGGCAGGCCCGTCCTCCGAAGCAGGTGCCCAGGCAGGTAGAGTCTGGAGCCAGCCTAGAGGATTTACAGTTCTGCCACTGAGCGCCTGGACCAGGGACAGCTAGAGGGAATCCACATGGCCCTGCAGAATGGAGGGGGCAGCTGGCCAGGCCAGGCCTGGGACAGAGGGCACCCCTGGAACTGCCAGGGTTTGAGGAAGGAGGGGCAGTCCTGATGGTTAACCCCTCAGGGGGAAGGGCAGAGGATGTACCCTGCTGGAAGGACTGAGAATGTCAGCAGACAGCCAGCCCTGTGCCTCACCACACTCCCAGGAGACCCGGGCCAAGGTGGGAAGGAGCCTGCTCTGAACCTTACGGGGCTGTGACAGTCCCAGGGCTCACACCCTGCTCACCAGTGTGCTCCTCACCCCACATACAGCTTCGCAGGCACACCTGGGGCCGCGGGGTCTTCATCCTTGGAGCTCAGCTAGGCCATAGCAGGTAGGGGTGGGGGATGGGGGCAGGGATCTGACAGTCTCACTCAGTTGAGGGGGATGTTGAGTCATAGATGTTGGGAAGCCCATTCTAATGGTGATGGGAGTGATCTAAGTCCCTCAAGGACTGGCTTTCTTGCTAACAGATGAGAAAGGGTCTGGCATGTTGGATCATGGGTGAGGGGTGTCCTCTGCTCTAAACCTGCTCAGGGTCGGGCTCCATTTTCTCTTCTCAGCCTTTGAACCCCAAAAGATGGGACTGGCCAACCAATGGACAGCTGAAGATGTCGGCCAAATCCCTGCGGGTGGGGACACCCTGCAGAGTGACAGTGACCTGCTGCAGGAACCCCATACCACACACATATAAACACACTACACGTATACACACACACACCACACATACACCACACACATATACACACACACATGCATATGTACAGCACACACCATATATATACCATACATACTACATACACACACTGTACACATACACACACACACCGCACAGCACACATATACACACACTACACATATATACACACACAGCATTCACACCACACATACTACACACACATCACACACACACACCCCCAACCCCATACACACCACACACATCCCTTTCCCTCCCTCACCATCTCACTAACACACATACACACCACTCTGCTCCTTTCACAAGCTAACAATTGCAACAGACATGCCTGCCGGACTTAATGTTTCCCGTAGGGAATGAGGTGGTGGTCAAGGCCTGGCTTGTGGGAATGGAGGTATGGTTCTATTAGCAGTTGTGTGTATGTGACATATTAAACCTGAGTTTGCTGTTGTTCAATATTCAGTCATTCAACATGTATTTCCACACTGATTAAACACTTACTATGTGCTAGGCACAATTCTAGGTTCTAGGGAATCCTAGTTGAGGTTTCCCAAGAAGTGAACCTTGAGACAAGGGCTTTAAAAAAATTAAAAAGCTTTATTGAGATATAACTCACATACCATATAATTTACCCCTTCAAAGTGTATAATGTGGTGATTTTTAGTATATTAAGAGTTGTGCAACCATCACAATTTTAGAACACTTTCATCACCCTATAAAGAAACCTCATACACATTAGCAGTTATTCCCATTCTCCTCTTCCCCTGACCCCTAGCAATCACAAATATAGTTGTTGTGTCTATAGATTTCCCTATTCTGGACTTTCATATCAATGGAATCATACAATATGTGGCCCTTTGTGACTAGCTTCATTCATCTAGCATAATGTTTTCAAAGTTCATCCATGTTGTAGCATGTATTAGTACTTCATTCCTTTCTATGGCTGAATACTATTCCATTGTATGGATGTACCACATTTAGCTTATTCATTCACCATTTCATGGACATTTGGGTGGTTTCCACTTTCTTGCTATTATGGATTATGCTGCTATAAATATTTATGTACAAGTTTTTGTGCGGACATATGTTTCAATTCTTTCAGGTATAGATACCTAGTGGAAATGTTGGGTCATATGGTAGCTCCATATTTAACATTTTGGGAACCTGCCAAACTATCCTCCAAAGCAGCTACGCCATTTTACATTCCCACCAGCAACGTATGAAGCATTCCAATTTGAAATAAAGTTTTAACTGTAGAATTTTATTTAGGAAGTGATCCCAGGATATACCAGGAGTGGAATAGGGAAGGGAAACTGGGAAGGGAAGGCAGCCCATAAAGGATCATTATCAGGAAAATTACCCCTGGGAGTCATCAAAGCTCAAGGCCACTGAGTAACTCTGGGAGCCAGGTTAGAACGGGCACCACAGAATCATTTTACCTGGGAAACAAAGGGGTAGAGGTATGTTATACACCAGCTCCCAACAACGATTAGTTTCTACCCTAATCATCATCACCCACTGAGGCAACCAACCAGAACACCTCAATCCAAGCTCATACTTCTTATTTTACACACTAGTAGGATCCCTTCCTCTACTTATAACACTTGTTTATACTCAAAATACCTCAGGTTCACTAAATATGCTAGTAATAATACTTGCTACCCGAGAGCTATTAACTGCCATTGGTTGAGGGTTTCTGGGGTGTGTGTTAGTTTTCTGAGAATTACCTTTTGCTGGATGCAAGGTGTATTAGTCCGTTTTCACACCGCTATAAAGAACTGCCTGAGACTGGGTAATTTAAAAAGGAAAGAGATTTAATTGACTCACAGTTCTGCAGGGCTGGGGAGACCTCAGGAAACTTGCAATCATGGCAGAAGGGGAAACAAACATGTCCTTCTTCACATGGCAGCAGGAAGGAGAAGAATGAGAGCTGACCAAAGGGGGAATTCTGCTCCTTATAAAACCATCAGATCTCTGGTGAGAACACACTATCATGAAAACAGTATGGGGGAACCACCTCCATGATTCGATTATCTCCACCTGGTCCCGCCCTTGACACATGGGGATTATTACAAGTCAAGGTGAGATCTGAGTAGGAACGCAGAGCCAAGCCATATCACAAGGCAAGCAAAGCAGGTACCGCAGGAGAAAGCCATCTGGCAAAGAAAGGCAGATGCTGGTGGATGGTTAAGCACTGCTCTGTAGTTAGAGCAAAGGAGGTGAGCAGAGTACCAACAGCACCTACTACCTGGGGTGAACCAAAGTTCCTGCCCTCATGGAGCTTACACTCTAATGAAAGAGCCATAAACAAACATATGTACTATACAGTCAGGTAGCACCAGAAGGGAAAAAGCAGGTCAGGGGTTGGAGAGGGATGGGGGATGCTGTGTTAGCTTAGGTGGTCAGGGCAGGCATCTCTGAGGAGGTGAGATTCTAGCTGAGACCTAAATAGAATGAGGGACAGGCTGTCTGAAGCCAGTTGCCTGCCTGTATTTTTTTTTTTTTTTTTTTTGAGACAAGAGTCTCACTCTGTCACCCAGGCTGGAGTGCAGTGGCACGATGTTGGCTCACTGCAACTTCACCCTGCCAGCAATTCTCCTGCCTCAGCCTCCCAAGTAGCTGGGATTACAGGCACACGCCACCATGCCCGGCTAATTTTTGCACTTTTTAGTAGAGACAGGTTTGCACCATACTTACCAGGCTGGTCTCGAACTCCTGACCTTGTGATCCTCCCGTCTCAGCCTCCCAAAGTGCTGGGATTACAGGAATGAGCCACCGTGCCCAGCCAAAATAGGATGCCCGAACGAGGACTTGAACCCTGGACCCTCAGATTAAAAGTCTGATGCTCTACCCACTGAGCTCTCCGGGCTCACCTGCCTGTATTAAAGTCTGGGCTGTGGTGCTAAAACACTCAGTGGGGAATAACCTTGGTAGGTTGGGACAAGGGTTGGAGCAGCTGCAAGAGGTCCACAGTGGCTTCTGCAGAGTGAATGAGGCAGAGCTTAGTAGGAAATGAGATGAAAAATGCAGCCAGGGGCCTCATCAAGTTGGGCCAGGTTGGGAAACAGTTTGAGTTTTATTCTAAAGGTAACAGAGGCCACTGGATGGGTGAGAATCAGAGGAATTTTTAAATCTGGCTTCTGCTTTTGTTTCTTGGTATTGAAGCCATTGGATTTCAGTACTGAAACTTCCCTATCCCAATCTTTAGTGAGGCTGTTAGGCACCCAGAAGGTGCCAACACTTTGCTGCTGGGCATCCAAACCCAACACTGCAACACTCATTCATTCCACTTATGTTCCCAGCACTGTCCTAGGCGTGGGTATGCAGCAGTGAACGCATCTGACATAAGCCCTGCCCTCCCAGAGTATTCTACAAGGAGGAGATGAATAAACAACGTAAATATGCACTATAGGTTATATATACAGAGCCCATACTAGACAACGGTCAAGGGTTTAGACTAGAGAAAAATGAAGTACATGCAAGGGATACCAAGTGCTGGGGGGTGCTTTGAAATTTCAAACACAGGGGTCAAGGATGTCTTCCCCATGGGGCTGACACACTGAGATAGCTCCTCTCAGCCCGGCTGGCTTCCAGGAAGGCTTCTCCCCAGCTCCAGGGAATGCGTCCATTTCCTCCCTAGCACGGACCCTGCGGCCAGGAGGGAGGGCCCTGGTTGGATCTGCCGAGGAGAGAGAGAAGAGCAGGGACCCTGGAGCGGAGGACTCGGGTGTGCTCATCAGATGGTCCAGGCACATGGCCTTGGAGGATGGTGGGGGGCTGGGGTGGGGGCAGGGGAGGAAAGGGGCTGGGGCTGGCAAGTCTCAGGGGAATATTGATGAGTTTTCTGGCAAGAAGTGACAGGGCTGGTGGGGACGGTGTAATGAAGACAGATGATCTCAGGCCAGCTCTGCTCATCTTCCTGTGGGAGGAGGAGGGGCACAACCCGGGTGGAGGGTGGGGAGTGGGCTTGCCAAGTGCCCGCTGTGCCCTCTCCTCTGGCACCTTAGCTCTCCAGCTGCCCCAGCTTCTCCCCGCTGCCCCTCCTTCCTCCACTCACCTCAGCCCACGCTCTTCTCTCCTTCCTGCCCTGCTTTCTCTGGAGAAAAGACCCTTTCCCCTTCCCCACTTTTCTCTCTTCTTTCTTTTCTTTTTCCCTGTTTCTCCCATTTGCCTGTCCCTCCACAGCTCTCTTTTCTCACTTCTTTTTCTCTCTGCCCACCTCCACCCCCAGCCTCCTGACTGTGACCTCCAGAGCAAAGCGCTGTCTTTTCTCTGGGGATTTCCTAAATTCTCTAAAACAGCGGCGACCCCCGATTCTATCAACAATTTATTCAGCGCCCCCTGCATGGTAGGCACTTGCTGTGCCAGCCTGCAGACCAGGGCTGCACAGTACCAGGGAGGAGGGAACATGGAATATTCGATTTTCCCTGACTTCCTTCCTTCCTTCTTTCCTTCCTTCCTGCCTGCCTTCCTTCCTTCTTCCTTCCTTCTTTCCTTCCTTCCTTCCTGCCTTCCTTCCTCTTTCTTGCTTTCTCCTTCCTTCCTTCCCTCCCTCCCTCTTTCCTTCCTTCCTTCCTTTCTTTCAATCGTAGTAAAATACACAGAACATAAAATTTACCACTAGTGACATTTATTTTTTATTTATTTTTTTGAGACGGAGTCTCACTCTGTCGCCCAGTCTAGAGTCCAGTGGCATGATCTCGGTTCACTGCAACCTCCACCTCCCAGGTTCAAGCAATTCTCCTGTCTCAGCTTCCCGAGTAGCTGGAATTACAGGCGTGCACCACTTCTGGCTAGTTTTTGTATTTTTAGTAGAGACTGGGTTTCACCATATCAGCCAGGCTGGTCTTGAACTCCTGATCTCGTGATCCACCCACATCAGCCTCCCAAAGTGCTGGGATTACAGGCATGAGCCACCGTGCCCGGCCACTAGTGACACTCAGTACATTGGATGTGTGTCATCACCACCATCTAGTTCCAGCACATTTCATCCCCCCAAAAGGAAACCCCATTCCCATGAGCAGTCACTCCTATTGCCCCTCCTCTCAGCCCCTGGCAACCACTCGGCTGTTTTCTTGTCAGTGGACTTGCCTATTCTAGATATTTCATATAAATAAACATGTGCTTTTTGTGTCTGACTTCTTACACTTAGCAGAATGTTTTCAAGGTTCGCCATGTTGTAGCATGTATCACTATTTCACTCCTTTTTCTGGCTGAATAATATTCTACCATGTGGTTATACCATATTTTGTTTATCCATTCACCCATCAGTTGATGGAATTTGAGTTGTTCAGGTCACTGAATTTTGAAGCAGAAGCCCTAGTGTTGAGTTCCATGCCACTCCTACCTGTGTGGCCTTGAGCAGCCATGTATGTCTTGGAGCACTGATAATTTCACCTATGAAATGGAACTGTAAAATTTTAAGTCTCTATGCTCTTTTAGAGCATAAGAAGAATGGTCTATGATCTTCTAGCTTGATAAGTTGGAAACTGCCTCTCACCTCTCTCCTTCTGTACCTCTCCCATTTGCTATTGAATTTGGGATCAATGTTGAGTAAAAAAATTCATGTGCCAGCTGGGTGTGGTGGCTCACACCTGTAATCCCAGCACTTTGGGAGGCTGAGGTGGGAGGATCACAAGGTCAGGAGATCAAGACCATCCTGGCTAACATGGTGAAGCCCCATCTCTACTAAAAATACAAAAAATTAGCCAGGCATGGTGGTGGGTGCCTGTAGTCCCAGCTACTCGGGAGGCTGAGGCAGGAGAATGGCGTGAACCCGGAAGGCGGAACTTGCAGTGAGCCGAGATCGCGCCACTGCACTCCAGCCTGGGCGACAGAGACTCCGTCTCAAAAAAAAAAAATTCATGTGCCAAAGTCAGGTGGACTAATGTTTATTGTTGTGTCCATTGTCACCTAGACCATTTTCCTGATTTATTTATTTATTTTTATTTATTTATTCTTTTTTAGATAGAGTCTTGCTCTGTCGCCCAGCCTGGAGTACAGTGGTGTGATCTTGGCTTACTGCAACCTCCACCTCCCAGGTTCAAGTGATTCTCCTGCCTCAGCCTCCCGAGTAGCTGGGATTACAGGCACTGCTACCACACCTGGCTAATTTTTGTATTTTTAGCAGAGGCGGGGATTCTCCATGTTGGCCATTCTGGTCTTGAACTCCTGACCTGAAGTGATCTGCTTGCCTCGGCCTCCCAAAGTGCTGGGATTACAGGCATGAGCCAGTGTGCCTGGCCCATTTTACAGATTTAAACATGCATTATTTTTCAAATTTTAGTATCTTTGAAATTGGCACATAGTTTACAACCAATGGTTGTATAGTAACTAATAAAACTCTTTATTTTTCTAGTGGTTTGTAAAACAATTGTGCTTATTCCAATCAACAGTTCAAGGTTAGTGTAACATGCTAGGAATAGGTCAGTGAACATCACCATGAACAATAAGAGAAATAAAAACTGACTTCCTAATGAAACATTTTTGATGTAAGTTAACTGATATCCTGGTATGTGAACTCTCAGCTAAATGAGTTGGTTGACATGGAAATATTGATTTACTTGAGCTGACATAATGTCAACATCATTTAAAACACCATGCAGACACACCTTGCTGGCACAAATGGTTCTAAAACACTTGGCCACCGTGGTAGGGCCATAGATTCCATGAGAAAATACTTGCGAATGGACTTTGTGAACTGAGATGCTAGATGGTAGTGCAAAGGTGCGGTTATTAGTCTCTCATTCTCCCAAGGCTCCGCCTCCCTGCCCTGCCCCCTCCCACCCTCTCCAACATGGGAGAAGTCGCATACAAATACTGAATATTTTTGCCTTCATTAAAACAGGCCAGATATCGTAATTACATCCCAGAGAGCAGAGGGCTCCATCTGAAGGGAGGAGAGGGAGGTGGATGAAAGTCAGTCAGACATGCAGAATTCATGAGCTTGGCTAATTGAGCACCTCCACTAAGAACAGATCTTAGCTGACTAGGGAAGAAAACCATATCCGGTTGTCCTGGCCCTGCTCAAACCTTGTCTCCTCCCGGAGCCTTGAGTTGGGCCAGCCTGCCTCTGAACTCCCATGGCAGGCCCTCGGTCAAGACCTGAGCACTAACTGCTCCTGTGGCTGTCCTCTGTCTCCAGCTAGACTGTGAATGAGTTGAGAGCAGAGGCGTTCTGTGAACTCTTTTCTGTGAGTTTTCTCATGGCTATGTGGCAGGAATGTAGTAGAAATATGGAGAGGAGTCAGGAATAAGGGCAGTGTTCCTCAAAATGTCCACCCAGACCACCTGCATGGGCTATCACCTGCTGGAGCTGGTTACAAATGAAATTCCTGGGAATCCACCCAAGAGACTGTATTTCAGTACGTAGGGCCCGGGAATCTGCATTTAAACAATCTACCGCAAATAATTCTATGCTCAGTACAGTTAGAAAACCACCAAGTCTAAGGATTAAACTAGGTGATCCTGCAGGTGCTTTCCAACCCAACAGCCTGTGATGTACTTTGCTGTCTTCTAAGCATTCAGTCCTCCTCCTCTCTGTCCTTGAAAGCCTACTGTGTGTCTCGCTTCTGCCAGTGTAGGAAACTGATGCTCAGCCAATGTTCAGGAAAAGCGTCAAAGGGGAGACTAGCATTGCTGTCCCTGCTCCCAGCAAGAGAGCAAGGAGGGTGGAGGAGGACAAGATGGGGCTGTGGGCTGGGGAAGGGGAAGGACCAGAACAGGAGGGGGCTGAATGAGCCAGCAGGAGGTGCCTTGGACCTTGGCAGTCACTGGGGGCCCTGCTGGTCCCATGGCCCCTGCACTCCCTGCCCACCCAACTAGCCTGCCCAAAAGGAGGGAACAGTGCTAGCCAGACACCTTTGTGCTTTGATCACTAAGAGAACTCACTACCACCAAGAAGAATGAGCTGCTGAGGTTTAATAGAACTTATGTCAGAGGATGAGGAACAACTTGTGGGGCCTTTGGCTTCACTAAGCTACATGCAGAGCTGTGACTCTGGACCCATGCCATGGAGATCCCTGTGCTTGATCCTCCAGCCAGGTCCCTGATGCACCCCTTGTCTGAGGTGAGCATGCTCAGGGTTTAATAACGGCTGGTGCAGCTAACGTTTATTATGTCCAGCCCCCAGCTAAGCACTTTACATGCATTACCTCATTTAATCTCTATGCCGTCCCTACTAATAAACCCCTTTTGCAGATAGGAAAACTGACGTTGTGATGTATGGTGTAACTTGCACAATGTCACCTGGTTCTTTCTTTTTCTTTTCTTTTTTTTTATGACAGAGTCTCTCCGTTGCCCACGCTGGAGTGCAGTGGCACAATCTTGGCTCACTGCAACCTCTGTCTCCTGGGTTCAAGCAATTCTCCTGCCTCAGCCTTCCAAGTAGCTGGGATTACAGGTGCCCACCACTGCACCTGACTAATTTTTGTATTTTCAGTAGAGACGGGATTTCACCATGTTAGCCAGGCTGGTCTCAAACTCCTGACCTCAGGTGATCCACCTGCCTTGGCCTCCCAGAGTGCTGGGATTACAGGCATGAGCCACCATGTCTGGCCTGGTTCTTTCAACTGGTGTTTTACCTCTTCCTCAGATGTCCATCACTATCCCTGTTGCTCTCCTCTTTATCCTCTCCGGCCTGGCTCTGTCCCTCTTATAGCAAGGGGCCTGGAACTCAACCTAGCGCGAATGGTCTAAGGGTTCTGTCCTGGTGTGGGACACTTCCCTTCTGTTGATGCAGCCCTGTGGTGGGCTTTTCTGGAAGCCTCACCACACTGGTGTTCAACCTGAGCTTACTGTCAGGTGAAGCCCCTAAATTGATGCTTTCTGATCCTAACTCTCTATTCTATTTTTATATAATGGGGATTCTGTGCCCAGGTACAGGAATTTACATTCATCCCTATTAAATATTTTCACCTACATGCTTCTTGGTTCTGTCTGTTACATCCCCTATGGACACACACACACACACACACACACACACACACACTCCTCTTTCCCAGAAGACAGATGTGTATTTTGGACAATCTACTCCATGGGGACTATCTGTTTTCCACTCTTACCCTTAAAAGTAAGGAAACACAAGTTGTGTACATGTTTCCTCCAGGGTTTTCCTGGTCACATTGCATACTCAGGCGAGAGGGCTTCATGACCAAGCGTGCAGGCTCTGGGTCAGACTGCCTGGGTTGGAATCCCAGCCTGAGCACGGAGCCTTGTGACCTTGAGATATTAATGTAGCCTCTGTACTTCAGTGTTCTCTGTAAAATAGCGATAACTATATCTATCTCACTTGTTATTCTGAGAATTAAATGTGATAGTTGGCCGGGTGCAGTGGCTCACACCTGTAATCCCAGCACTTTGGGAGGCTGAGCAGGTGAGTGGCTTAAGGCCAGGAGTTCGAGACCGGCCTGGCCAACATGGTGAAACCCCATCTCTACTAAAAATAAAAAAATAGCCAGGTGTGGTGGCATGTGCCTGTAATCCCAGCTACTCAGGAGGCTGAGGTATGAGCATCGCTTGAACCTGGGAGGCGGAGTTTGCAGTGAGCCGAGATCACACCACTTCACTCCAGTCTGGGAGACAGAGTGAGACCCTGTCTCACACACACACCAAAAAATGTGATAGTAATTGGGCAGTAAATATGTTGGCCTCCTCGTTGCCTCTTCTGGCTTCTCTGGGTCCCCCGATCTTGCTTTCCCATCCTGACACCCTCCCACATCTGTTTGACCTTAGTTACAAAGAGAAACACAGAATTTCTGTGATGAAAGGGCTTCAGAGGCAGTCCAATCCAGCCCCTTTGTTGTACAGATGAGAAAACCACAGTCCCTCCTGCCATTCCTCTGTTGCTTCATTTTGTTCCAAAGTCGTTGTATTTCCAGCACTCCAGTTACCACCTTTTCTCTCTCCAGCTCACATAGCAATCAGATCAGGCTGCTTTTCCCCAGTGCAATCAGTGAGCTCCCAGCCTCCAGCTTGCTGGATTTATGGCTCTCTGCTGGCTCACGGGGTCCTTAGGGGTCTGTGTAGCTCAGGAGTTATGGGCCAGCCGAGACAGGGCTTTCAGTGCACTTGGCCCAACTTGTCAGTCACCTCCTGGGGCCGGTTGCATGGAAAAAAGAAAATCAAATACCAAGGCCAATATGCTGACCACATTTTTATGCTCTTCATTCAAATCCAAAATGTTCCCTATGGGGCATGCTGGAAGCTGTTCAGAACTGAAAGGCAGAGATCGTTCTCCAACTGGCCAGGAAAGGAGGACTACAGGGAGGATGCCGCATGTCTGAGCAGTTTGTGTCCCTTCTCAGAAGACGTTGTGCCCATGTGCCAGGGCAGTGCAATGACAGAGGGTGGTGGGGTAGAAGCTCTGATTTCTCTGAATTCTCCATTAATTCCTTCAAAAAAAGGTTAATAGTTATGTAACTAGCTTTTAGACAATTCCTCGACTTCCTCTTCCCAACCAAAGCACCAACTTTAGCCCCTCTAATACACACATTCTGGGGCCAGCCCTTTGCCAGAAATAAGGAGGGGCAGCCTACCTAGGCTGTTTAAGGCAGTTTTGTAATGCAGGGGGTGGATGTTGTATAGCTAGCTTTCTTTCCAAGTAAGGAAAAAATACAATAATCATTTCTTAAGATAAAGGACATTCTAGGCTGGGTACAGTGGCTCACACATGTAATCCCAGCACTTTGGGAGGCCAAGGCAGGCAGATCACTTGAGGCCAGGGGTTCAAGACCAGCCTGGGCAACATGGCAAAACCCCATCTCTACTAAAAATGCAAATAATTAGCTGGGCACGGTGGCACATGCCTGTAGACCCAGCTATTCAGGAGGCTGAGGTGGGTGAATCACCTGAGCCCAAGGCTGCAGTGAGCCAAGATCGTGCCACTGCACTCCAGCCTGAGTGACAGAGTGAGACCCTATCTCAAAAAAAAAAAAAAAAAAAAGAGAAAGAGAGATAAAGGACATTCTAACAACACTAAGGGTGGTGGGGAGAGAGAGAGAGAGAGAATGGACAAAATGTCAGACTAAGGAACAATCTTTAAATTGAATTAATTCGGCATTATTAAAATGCCAACTGATTGTCTTCGCATTTGCTTTTTGCAGTAGCAGCGCGATCCCCTGGGGCTGGAGTCTGAGATATGGAATTAACTCAGGGCCTGCCACTTAGCAACATGTGACTTTGGGTAAGTTAACTGACAGACTTGAACATCAGTAGACTTGCCTTCAGTTTCCTCATCTGTAAAACAGGAAGGATAGCACTTATCTCATCAGGTGGCTGGGGAGAGAGGGTCAGAGAAAGGAATGGACCATTTACTGAGCAACTATGAAAAGACAGGCATGTTGATATAGGATGTTTCATTTAATCTTCAGGACAACCTAATGAGGTAGGTGTTATCACGACCATTTTACAGATGAGGAAACTGAGACTCAGAGGTTAAGTAATTTGCCCAAGGTAACTCACAAACCCACAGTTAGCACCTGTGTTTGCTTGAATGCAAAGCCTACACTCTTTCCAGAAGGGCAGGCAGAAAGGAGGAAAGGGAAGGAAATAGGTTGGGGCAACAGTTCCTGGTCCAGACCTCAGTTTTCTCTGCGAAGTAGAAAGCAAGATCATCTACTGAGATGCGGAGGCAGGGAAGGGTCAGGAGTGGTGTAGGTTTGGAGAAACTTCTGTGGCCCCAAGACAGAGAACTTACCCATCCTCAGAGATAATGTTGCTAACAAGTTGTTCAGCACCTGGTTTTCTCTGGGACATGCTCCCCAGGGGAAGGGTCACTGTCTTGTTCATAAAGAAGAAACATATTTTACCGCCTGCCACAGTGGCTCATGCCTGTAATCCCAGCACTTTGGGAGGCCAAGGTGGGCGCATCACATGGTCAGGAGTTCGAGACCAGCCTGGCCAACATGGTGAAACCCCGTCTCTACTAAAACTACAAAAATTAGCCAGGCATGGGGCGGGTGCCTGTATTCCCAGCTACTCAAGAGGCTGAGGCAGCAGAATTGCTTGAACCCGGGAGGTGGAGGTTGCAGTGAGCAGAGATTGCACCACTGCACTCCAGCCTGGATGATAGAGCAAGACTCAGTCTCAAAAAAACAAAAACAAAAACAAACAAACAAACAAAAACATATTTTACCATTTGCTTATTGCAAAAGCAATACCTAGTACAGTGCCTGGCATGTAGTAGTAAATTTATGTTATTTAATAAATAATATGGAGTCCCAGGCCAGGCGCGGTGGCTCTTGCCTATAATCCCAGCACTTTGGGAGGCTGAGGCAGGCAGATCACGAGGTCAAGAGATTGAGACCATCCTGGCCAACATGGCGAAACCCTGTCTCTACTGAAAATACAAAAATTAGCTGGGCGTGGTGGCGCATGCCTGTAGTCCCAGCTACTCGGGAGGCTGAAGCAGGAGAATCACTTGAACCCAGGAGGTGGAGGTTGCAGTGAGCCGAGATTGCACCACTGCACCCCAGCCTGGTAACAGAGTGAGACTCCATCTCAAAATAATAATAATAAAAAAAAATAATATGGAGGCCCTACTATGTACTGAATCTGCTGTAGGTATTGGGGCCCCTTACATTCTAATAGGAGAGTTGGATAGTAACACAGAAGCCAATAAATAAAACATTCTCAGTTAGAAATAAAACTATGAATAAAGTAAGATAGAGTAAGGGGATAGAGAGTGCCTATTGCAATAGGGAGCTTCTCTCAGGAGGTAACATTTGAGATACACCTGGAATGATGAGACAAAGTTATTCATGCCAAGATGATGGAAGGGTGTTCCAGGCAGAAGAAACAACAAGTGTGAGGCCCTCAGCGAGAACAATCTTGGAATGTTCAGGGAAGCCAGAAGGAAGGCTTGTGCAGCTGGAGAGGAGGTGAGTGTTGGGGAGAGTTGTAGTAAACGAGAGAAGGGTCAGACCGTGTAAAACCTCATAAGCCAAGTTAAGAAGCTTGGATTTTATTCTAATTCCAGTAAGAAGTCTTTGGAAGGTTTTAAGCAGTGGGAGGGATGTGATCTGATTTGTGCTTTAAAACACTCACTCTGGCTTTTAGATGGAAAGTAGACTGTAGTGGGAAGAATGAGTGGAAGCAGGAGGCCAGGGAGGAAGCTGGCGCAGTCAGCCAGGAGAGGGGCAAGAACACTAGACTCAAGGGGCAGCCAGGGAGACAGACAGAAGTGGTTGGATTTGAGCAATGGGTCTGGCTGATAGATTAGCTGTGGGAGGGCGAGAAAAAGAGAGGAATCAAGGATGTTCTCTACGTTTTCGGACAGCGCTGATGGTCCTATTACTGAAGGAGGAGCGATTGGGAGCAAAGGGTATGGAAATCAAGAATTCCATCATGGACATGTTAAATTCAAAGTTCCTGGTAGACATCTGTTATGGGTTGACTTGTGTCTCCCCCAAAAAAGTCCTAATTCCCAATACCTGTCAATGTGATCTTATTTGGAAATAGGGTCTTTGCACATGTAATAAGATAAGGTCATGAGGGTGGCTCTAATCCAATATAACTATCATCTTTATAAAAAGAGATCGGCCCGGCACGGTGGCTCATGCCTGTAATCCCAGCACTTTGGGAGGCCGAGGGGGGCAGATCACCTGAGGTCAGGAGTTTGAGACCAGCCTGGCCAACATGGAGAAACCCCGTCTCTACTAAAAATACCAAAAAATTAGCTGGGGGTAGTGGTGGGTACCTGTAATCTCAGCTACTCAGGGGGCTGAGACAGGAGAATCACTTGAACCCAGGAGGCAGAGGTTGCAGTGAGCTGAGATGGAGCCATTGCACTCCAGCCTGGGCAACAAGAGCGAAACTCTGTCTAAAAAAAATAAGAGAGAGAGAGAGATCAATTGGTCGGGCACAGTGGCTCATGCCTGTAATCCCAGCTACTTGGGAGGCTGAGGCAGGAGAATTGCTTAAACCTGGGAGGCAGAGGTTGCAGTGAGCCGAGATTGCGCCATTGCATTCCAGCCTGAGTAACAAGAGTGAAACTTTGTCTCAAAAAAAAAAGAAAAAAAAAAGAGAGAGATCAAGTTCAGCAAAAACACACAGAGAAGAACAGCATATGAAGACATAGACACAGAGAGAAGATGGTCTCACAGTGATGAAGACGGCAGAGACTGGAGTGATGCTGCTACAAGCCTAGGAACGCCTGGGGCTAGAAAAGGCAAGGAAGGATCCTCCCCTAGAGGGGTCAGCCTGGCCCTGCCAACACCTTCATTTTGAACTTCTAGCCTCCAGAACTGTAAGACAACAGATTTCTGCCATTTTAAGCCACATAATTTGCAGTACTTTGTTAAAGCAGCTCTAGGAAGCTAATACAACAGCTGAGTGAAGAGGTCAAATGAGCATTTGGATATGCAAGCCTGCAGCTTAGGAGAGAGCTTGGTTTCTAAAGCCAAAGGAATAAAATTGCCTAGAGAGTGGGTTTGCGAGAATTGAGAGGAGAAAAGAGCCCAGGGAGAGACAGAGGAATGGCCAGTGAGGCAGGGGTACCAGGAAGTGTCTCAAGGGAAGAGCTGGAAGGAGGAGAGAGCAGTCAATTATGTCATACACTTATGATGATGGGTGAAATTGAACTGGCTTCAGCCTTTGGATTTTGCAAGATGGAGACTGTCGATGATTTTGACAAGAGAAGTGTTAGCAGGGTGGTGAAGACAGAAGTCAAACTGGAGTGAGCTGAGGAGTGAATAAAGGTAAGAAAGTGTAGAGTAATTACAGAGAACTATCTTGAGTTTTGCTGTAAAATGATAAAGAAAAGGGCTATTACCTAGAAAAAGGTGTGGGAGCCAGGAAAGGTTTTTTTATTTTATTTTATTTTTTATGAGATGGAGTCTCACTCTGTCGCCCAGGCTGGAGTGCAGTGGCACGATCTCGGCTCACTGCAACCTCCGCCTCCTGGGTCCAAGCGATTCTCCTGCCTCAGCCTCCTAAGTAGCTGGGATTACTTACAGGTGCGCACCAACACGCCCAGCTAATTTTTTTGTATTTTTAGTAGAGATGGGGTTTCACCATGTTGGCCAGGCTGGTCTCCAACTCCTGACCTCATGATCTGTCCACCTCGGCCTCCCAAAGTGCTCAGATTACGGGCTTAAGCCACAGCACCTGGCTGTTTTTTTTTTAAGGTAGGCAACATTAAGGCATGTTTTTCTGTATGTGGGGATGATCTAGGGTTGAAGGAGAAACTGATGATTCAGGAAAGACAGGGTATAATTTCAAGGAGCAAAGACACAGAAGTGAGGGTGGATGGGATCCAGTGCAAAAATGCAGGAGTTGGCCCTAAGTAGGAGTGGAGACTTTTCATCTATTACAGCTGCAGGGAAGGCAGAGAATATGAGTAGAGATTGTGTAGATGGGTTGGTGGATTGTGATGGGACCATGAAGTAATTCTCACCTGTTTGCATCCATTTGTATTTATTATATCAGTGAAGTATGGGTTGAGGGATGGTATTGCCATGCCTGATACTGTCATCCAGGAAAGTGGACGGTCAGTTAAAGCTACACACAGTCCAGACTCTTAGGTGGCAATGAGGACTCTCCTGAAGAAAAGGATGACTGAAATGAATCCTTGTATCCATGAAGTGTCCGGTGTTGTGCTAGGCACATGACATATTCATTGATGAAAACTGTGGCTTTCTATCTGGATCACAGAGCTGATGCTCTGGTGACTGTAACAGGAATAGGCTCTAGCCCACTGTGCTACACACAACAGACTCAGGATGCTGTGAGTGACGGCAATTTCTAAGTACTTCTGATTGCTTAGCAAGGAAAGCATCTGCATTTTGTCCTTTCTGATGAAAGTTATCTCTGTTTTCAAGACTGACCAGGGACTGGGCTACAGTGTGTTTCGTGTTAATTAGGAGAAGGGGGACAGGAGGCAAAGGTAGGGGTCAGTAAGGTGACCTGTCCAAATTGGAGCTGCAGGATATCCCTGCCCCAGACTAAAACACTGCACCCTCTGCCTCAGAAGGGAAACAGAGAGCCTCCCTCCTCTGGAAGCTCAGAGCAGAAAAAGGCACAGCCACATTTTTTCTTTAGATGAAAATATGGCCACCCAGTCCTGGGCCTTTGCCTTCCCTTCCTTTTCCTTCTTAGTTGCTTCTTCTCCAGAATAAATTATTTCTATTTCTATTTCTTTTTTTTTTTTTTTTTTTTTTTTGAGACGGAGTCTCGCTTGGTCGCCCAGGCTGGAGTGCAGTGGTGCAATCTTGGTTCACTGCAACCTCCGTCTCCCGGGTTCAAGTGATTGCCCTGCCTCAGCCTCCCAAGTAGCTGGAATTACAGGTGCACACCACCACACCCGGCTAAGTTTTGTATTTTTAGTAGAACTGGGGTTTCACCAGGCTACTCTTGAACTCCTGACCTCAGGTGATCTGCCCGCCTCAGCCTCCCAAAGTGCTGGGATTACAGCTGTGAGCCACCACGCCCAGCTATTTTTATTTCTTTTAACTCCTTTTATTTTGAGTAGAGACGGGGTTTTGCCATATTGACCAGGCTGGTCTTGAACTCCTGACCTCAAGTCATCTGCCCATCTTGGCCTCCCAAAGTGCTGGGATTACAGGCATGAGCCACCGCGCCCGTCCAACTCCTATTTTTCTAGCCTTTTTGATTCCACCTGCCCTCCTCCATTTCACTGAAGCTGGGGCCTATCTTTGCCTTTTCCTCCCCAGGATCTCCCACAGAATGCTTCCTTCCTGTCCCAACCCTTCCGCCAATACCACTAGATGTGAAAGTCCAAAGGGTTTTTTTTAAGACACCTCTAAAGTTCCCACTGATGTTATGCCCCAGTGTCTGAGGTGACCCGACCTGGTCTCTGTGTGGCTGAGAGACTGTCTCTTTGTGCTGGCTGATGAATGGCTGCCCTGCACTGTCCCAGGACCTCAATCCCTGGAGGGTAACAGGAGAAAGCCCACTCCCCTCCTTAGGCTCTGCACCTGCTGCTCTCAGCTTTCTTTGGGGCTACAGGGTGGTTGGGCAGGGAGCTAGCTCACTAAGCCAGAAAAGAGCAGCACCAGGTCAGCAGATCAGGAGTCTCTCTCTGTCTTATCCTCTCTGGACAGAATGGGGCCGCTGAGGGGCTGCCCAGACCCACAGCCTTTCCTCCCCATGACTCCTGCTTTGTCCCCACACATCTCCTATTACCTGCAGGGATTTGGATCTCTCAATAGAAAGTGAGCCTGCTGGGATGCTATTTACCTCTGTGAACGAGGGTTTGAACTGTAGAATTTCTGGGCTGGAAAACATCTCACCTGGTTAGCCATCTTCACCCCTGCCTGAAGACACGGCACTGTGCAAACCTTCAGGCCAACATCACTTTCTGAAGGAGACTCTGTGATTTTCCTCGATAATACATCTCAGTGCTTCAAACCACAAAACTCCATTCAGTTCAACAAAAGTGCACAGAGTGCCTATTTTAGTATTGTTTTTATGTTGTTTTACATATTATTAAAGTATTTCACTATTTATTTTGGACAGGTAATACATGCACATGGTACAACATCACAACTGCTAGAGGGGGAACAATGAAAGCAGGTGCCCCATCCACTCAGGTCCCCTTCCAGAAGTACCTATCATTAGCAATGTCTTGTGTATTTTTCCATAGACATTCGACACATATACAATTTCATTTAATCTTCACGACAGCCTTCTCAGATGGATATCTTAAATCCCATTTGGCAGATGAGGGAACCATGGCTCAGAGCGTGTTGGTAACAGTGGCAATTCCCATCGAAGTGCATGTTAAGTCCAAAGCCCAAACAGTTTCTGCTATAACATGTTCCCAGATCTACCATTTAATCATTTCCTTCCCTTCTACCACAGCCTCTCACATCAGCAGGTTTGGCTCCAGAGCCTGGGTGTGCAGGGCCCTGTCCTAGGTGCTGAAGGCTCTGGTAGAGGCAGGGGATTACTTAGCCTCTACCATCTTGGGCTCGTGGATAAGCTGGGAGGCTAGCAAATACCTGAAGTATAATAGAGAAAAGGCAGGGAGCCAAACAATTCTTCTGGCCAATGAATTTGTACATGGTACTAAGCAAGCCACTGCCTCTTTCTGACTCTGTTTCCCTATCTGTCCGGTGGAGATAAACTTAACTCTCAGGGCTCTTGTGAGAATCTAGGGATAGTAAATGTATAGGAAAGCATACAATCCCAGATCATGGAAAGGAGTCTAGCCAGTGCTATTGATAGCTCCCCCCAGGTGAAGGCCAGTGGTCACTAAATGAGGAGGTAAACAGAGTGGTGCAGGCCACTGGGGAGTGACAGATTGAAACAGGGATGTCATCATCTATGTTCTTTATTTTGGGGATGTCTTCAGCAGGGACAAAGTTGGGCCAATTGCAACCATCAGACACTAGAAGTTAAAGGGGGCTACAGTGTGGGGTTGGGCTCAGAAAGAGCAACACACAGGTAAGCCTCTTTCAAAACATTAGTCTTTGGAACCTGGAGAAATCTGCCTGGATTACACCTGCAAATACTACTCTGGGCAGCTCTCTAGCTTCTGCAGGTCCTTCCTAGGCCCACCTCGCTCTGTTGTGTGCTCCCTCTCTGCAAGCTGGACGATTCACTGCTTTCTCATGAGCCAGTTACTAGCAGCTCAAGGGCCTCTCTACAGGTTTCTTCTGACCAGAACTCTTCCCTTGCCCCTCACCATCCCATCTTCACCCAGCTATCTTTCATCCTTTAGATCTCATTCCTCAGAGAAGCCTTTCTGGGCTCCCCAGTGAAGAGTAAGAGTCCCCATTATTCACACTCCCCAGATGTCTCCTGATTAGCTCATATGGCACTAGTCAGTGTTCATCTTGTCCAGCAGACTGTGCACTCCAGAGGACTGGGCACCACACGCACTGGTTCACCTGTGTATATCCCCAATGCCTAGCACAGAGCCTGGCATGGAAGACATGCTACATTATTATTGAATGAATGGCTGAAGTTACTCAATCCTGCCTTTTGGGTTCAAACTTTGCCTGTACCTTGGTTTAGCACCTCTCACACTGGGATAACACCTCTGACTCCAGTATTTGTTGCTTTTTAAAAACATGATTGTCTCATCTGGATCTTCTTCTTTTGCATTCCTGGCACCCAGCCCGTGTCATGGCACGGGTGGTGGGGGGCGGTGGGGGGAGGATCCTGCATATTTCTTGCTAAATGAATGAATTCTTGGCAGGAAGCTGCTTTGAACCAGAGGGCATTTCCTTCCAGGCAGTTAATGAGCTGTCTGCCAAGGTGGGCCAAAGGAAAGAAATTAGTAACAATATTGGACTGCAGTTGAGGGGGCTGGAGAGAGGAGAAAAGCAAAGATCCTTAGTGCCATCTCTTCTTTGTCATTGTGTGTGGGGCAGGACATGGGCCGTGGTCACTGAAGGGATCCTCTCGAGGGCTCTAAAAGCCCTCTCTGACTGAAGCGGGTTGGGCTCAGGTGACCAACCCCTGCTGCCCCCCCCCCCCCACTTCCGCCTCCTTGGGAAGGGGGCGTGGCGGGAGAGGAGGAAAGATACTGGGATCTTCGGCCTCTAGGCCTTTTCCCCTAGTATCTTCGTCCCCAAGACCCAAGCCAGAATTGGGAGGGGAGGGGGCTGAGGCCAAGCCGGGTGGCGGGGGAGGGGAGGGGCGGGGCGGCGCGGCCAGCCGGCTGGTGTCCCCTGATGTCTGGAGCCGAGGCCCCGGGCTCTCGGCCTCCACGAAGCGAGGCGAGCCGGAGC